>NC_000001.11:245123515-245275030 GCF_000001405.40 Homo sapiens
CACAGACCCTCCCGTTCCTGTTGTAGCTGACTACAGTGGTCACATCAGGCTGCTCAGTTGAAAGTCGAAGTCCTCCAAGTTTTCAGCAGTGCGTTCCAGCATCACCACCGAAATGATGATAGGAATTACCACCAAATTCCTATGCATGGGAAACCAGATCAGAACCTGGGCTGCGTTTTTATTTGTTTATTTTTTTTACTGTGCTTGGCTGTGATTGCTTTGGTGCTGGGATCCCCCAGACCTGTCACGAGAGCTGAGGGGACTACAGGCAGTCACCACCTTGCCTTTGGATTGGCAGCCCTGGATTAACTTCTCCTGAGGTGGGTGCAGGTGGCACTCACTGTGGTTAACCACTGTTTTTAAGCCAGGTTTCTTTTTTTCTGTCTGTCATATATATATATATATATTTAGAGACAGGGTCTCACTCTATCACTCAGGCCTGGAGTGTAGTGGCATGATCATAACTCACTGCAGCCTCGAGTTCCTGGGCTCAAGTGATCCTCCCGCCTTGGCCTCCCAAAGTGCTGGGATTACAGGCTGAGACACCACACCTGGTCTTAAGCCAGGTTTCTTTACCATCTCTTGGAGATGGCTGCAGTTGGAGATTCCAAAAGCTTTCAGAGCCCTTCATCCACCAGCTCCTCCATGTGGCCACCCATGTGACATGAAGTTGGTGTCACTAGGTACCACGTTGTCTGTCCCATCCAACAGGAAAAATAGCCTGTTGGCCAGTGAATAAGGTAGGAATCCAGGTGGTCCCCTGAGGGTCTTCTGACAGGCTCCTTTATCAGGCTCTTCTCATGGTATGAGCACCGCAGCTTGCTGACAGTGGCAACGTTCTCAAGCTTCACAGACTCCGTCACTTGGCCTGGAGGGGAATTCTAGGTGTCCAGCCCCAGGACAGGCATTTTGGCACCATGATTGAGCACGATATGGTGAGCCATCCTCACAGGATTAAGAAGAATTCTGGACAGAAATATAGTTGTAAGTAAGCATCAGTCAGCCTGCACTTTGACCCACTTCCTTGTAACCAACAGTGACGTAGCACTAGGTAACATTTGCATCCCCGTTGTTCCTATAGATACAATTTCTGACCTTAGAATCACAAGGCTTTTGTTTAAAATAGATGGGATCTCTGACATTAGAATCATAAGATTTTTGTTTAAGACTTGCTTAAGATGTTTTTCAGATCCTGAATTCCAGCAAAACAGCCGACACCAACCAGTTTGAAGACCCCCACAGAGGAATGTGATCAGCATGAAAATACAGCTTCGTCTCCCTCTCCCATGACTCCACCCTGCACACTTCGACCAATCAACCATCTCCACACTCCAGTCTCCACTCCCAAACCCTTAAAAACCCCAGCCCCAAACTCCTCAGGGAGATGGATTTGACGTTTCCTCCCATTTCCTCCTTCGGTGGCCCTACGATGAAACCTCTTTCTCTGCTACAACCCTATGCCTCGGCGTATTCACTTTCTGGTCCCATCCAGCGATGGACCCATCGTGGTTACCGTGGCTGGCCAAGCCTGCTGTGCTTCACAGACCCCACTCAGGATCACACCACTTCGTTCCACTGTTTGGAGATGCCATGTTTGCTTATCCCTTCATCAGCTGATGAGCATTTGTGCTGTTTTCACTTTTTGGCTATTACGAAAATGTTGCTACGAGCATCCATGATATTCGCCCATTTAAAAAAGTGTTTTTCACCATTACTGCTGTGGGAAATTTCTCCCTGGCTCTGTCCTTTCTTTGTAGCCCAGCCTTCCCCCAGGTTTTGGCTCTCCCTCTCTGGCTCAATGTCAGCTCCTTGTCTCACCTCCTAGAGCAATTCCACTCTCCCACCTCCTGCTGCGGCATTTCCAAAGCCTCTGCTTAGCAAGGGACCACCCATTCTGCACCTCTCCCCTTAGGGCTGCAAGCACCTGCACAAACTTGGTGGTTATCCTATGCCTCAACTCAATCAAATTCTCTCAGTTTTCCATCAGCAATCTTTTTAAGCCAAAGGGAAGGCAAGGACTTGATCTTCACATCACATGAATCATGACACCTGCCTTAGAAGGCAGAAGCAACTGTAGTTGGAATAGCAATTGTTTTTCAACATATGGGATGATATCAAGGCTCTTTCCTCCCCATATGTCCTGCCCTGTTAGTGGCTGGGGCTGAGGGTTTTCCCAGGAAGCCAGATTGTCCTCACAAGTTCCTCAGGACCCTAGGGCTTCCACAGATAGTAGGACTGTTATCAGAAAGAAGTCTCGATCCAGACGCCGAGAGAGGGTTCTTGGATATCGCCCAAGAAAGAATTCAGGGGGAGTCCATAGAGTGAAGTGAAAGCAAGTTTGTTAAGAAAACAAAGGAGTAAAGAATGGCTACTCCATAGGCAGAGCAGCTCCGAGGGCTGCTGGTTGCCCATTTTTTTTTTTTTTTCTTTGAGATGGAGTCTGGCTCTGTCGCCCAGGCTGGAGTGCGGTGGCACAATCTCGGCTCACTGCAAGCTCCGCCTCCCGGGTTCACGCCATTCTCCTGCCTCAGCCTCCCGAGTAGCTGGGACTACAGGCGCCCGCCACCATGCCCGGCTAATTTTTTGTATTTTTAGTAGAGATGAGGTTTCACATGTTAGCCAGGATGGTCTCGATCTCCTGACCTCGTGATCCACCCGCCTCGGCCTCCCAAAGTGCTGGGATGACAGGCGTGACTCGTGATCCACCCGCCTCGGCCTCCCAAAGTGCTGGGATTACAGGCGTGAGTCACCACGCCGGGCCGGTTGCCCATTTTTATGATTATTTCTTGATTATATGCTAAACAAGGGCTGGATTATTCATGAGGGAAAGGGGTGGGCAATTCCTGGAACGGAGGGTTCCTCCCCCTTTTAGACCGTGTAGGATAACTTCTTGACATTGCCCTGGCATTTGTAAACTGTCATGGCGCAGGTGGGAGTGTCTCTTAGCATGCTAATGCATTATAATTAGCATATAATGAGCAGTGAGGTCGACCAGAGGCCACTCTCATCACCATTTTGGGTTTGGTGGGTTTTGGCCACTTCTCTACTGCAACCTGTTTTATCAGTAAGGTCTTTATGACCTGTATCTTGTGGTGACCTCCTGTCTCATCCTGTGACTTAGAATGCCTAACAGGCTGGGGACGCAGCCCAGCAGATCTCAGCCTCATTTTACTCAGCCCCTCATCACTCTGATTCAAATGCCTCTGACATGACCACGCAGATTTGAGAAACAGGCCCTCAGCCAACCAGACTCTGGCTCTACGACACACTTAATACTGTGAAAAGAAGATTACGGGTCATAGTCACAAATACCAGGGGTGCAAAACTTCAGATTAGAAGACACTTGTCAGACTCAGAGGCTCATCCAACTCCACGGAGATCATTATCACCACAAGTTCTTCAGACAGGTGTGGAGGTTTTCTAAGGGATATTTTTATTTTCTGGATTGCAATTTTGTTTAGGAAGAGATGAAAGTGAGGATCAACTACTTTGAGGATTGTACAACTTTGTAAATTGCACAAATATGACGGCATATTTATATCTGCCTGCATTTGTGAAAACAAACTTGTCAAGGAGCTTATTTCTGGAAAGGGTCAATGATTCTAGAAAAAAAAAAAAGATAAATATGAGACCCTTCAGTAAAAAGAAACTTACTCTAGGGAAGTTTTTTGTTTTTTTAAAGAAGCAGTATTCACTCGTGTTTTTAAAAAGGAACATGGATTTCAACAATAATATAATGAGTAAAGCATCTGTTTCATTTATGAAATTAGACCTATTAAAGAACAGAATCATTGAGGGTTAAGGTAGGATGAGAGTGACAGGGAAAGAAAATGGAAGGAAGGCTAGGCACGGTGGCTCACGCCTGTAAGCACAGCACTTTGGGAGGCCGAGGCGGGCAGATCACCTGAGGTCCAGAGTTCGAGACCAGCCTGGCCAACATGTTGAAACCCCATCTCTACTAAAAATACAATATTTAGCTGGGCATGGTGGCAGGTGCCAGTAATCCCAGCTACTCAGAAGGCTGAGGCAGGAGAATCGCTTGAACCCAGGAGGCAGAAGTTGCAGTGAGCCGAGATCACTCCACTGCACTCCAGCCTGGGCAACAAGAGCATACCTCCATCTAGGAAAAAAAAAAAAAAAGAAAAGAAAAAGAAAATGGAGAGGAAAACAAAGACCAAGGCGCACCCAGGCCTTTTGAAAGTGAGGCTGTGACCCCCGTGCAAGCAAGAGCCCTGTGTGTGGCTCCCACGGTGCCTGCCACATACTAGCTGCTCAATAAATGGCTGTGAAATAAATGCTGATCACAAAGGACAGAATGGGAAAGATTAAGAGAGAGAAAAGGAAGTGTGGAGGAGTACAAGCAGAAATAACAGCCTGGGCACAGTGGCTCATGCCTGTAATCCCAGCACTTTGGGAGGCTGAGGTGAAAAGATCATTGAGGCCAGGAGTTTGAGACCAGCCTGGGTAACAAAGCAAGACCTTGTCTCTACCAAAAAGTCAAAAAAAAAAAAAAAAATTAGCCAGGGTAGTGACACACCTGTAGCCTGTACTTGGGAGGATGAGGTGGGAGGATCACTTGAGCCCAGGAGTTCGAGGCTGCAGTGAGCTATGATCGCACCACTGCACTCCAGCTTTGGGCTAAAGAGCAAGACCACATCTTGAAAATAAAATAAAAAATAAAAAAGAGAAATAATAACCAATTCCACTAACGTAAGGCTTTTCCACTTCCAAAACCCTCGCCATGACTTGATTCTTATAGTCAATCCACAGGGTAAGAAAGAGCATTTGTACAGAGAAAGCAATAACATTTATGGTGGAGAAGTGAAGTCTGTCACCAGAGGCCACACTCCTGGGAGGTGGTAGGGCCAGTTCTAGACGAGGACTTCCATCTGCCAGCCCCATCCTGACTGCATGACTCCACGCTGCTTCTGTCTTCTGGAGGCACAGCCTCAAAATCGGGCCAGTGTTGAGGGGCCTGGGGACAGGGCTGGAGATGGGGCTCTGGGAGGCATCAGCACAGGGAAGATTTTCGGAACCACGAGACTGGTGAGACCACCAATGAGCGGCGGGGAGCGCAGATGGAGAAGAGGGGCCGGAGGACCGAGCCCTGGGTGCCCATCCTTCAGAGGGTACAGAGAAGGGACGGATCCGAGAAGGTGACTCGGTGGAAGGAACCAGAGGGAGGGAGTGGGGAGTCCTGGGAGCCGCGTGGAGAGTGCATCAGGGAGGGAAGGGGGCCACCCTGCCAGAATATAACAGTGCCTGATACCTAGTGAGCGCTCCAGAAATAAGAGCCCGTTCCTATTTTTATTAATGTCTTGTTGAGAGGAGGAGCGAGCAGTGAGTACGGTAAGAGCTAAATTGTCATGCACCACAGCACAGAGTAAAGAGCTGATGTCTCAAATGGATAAATCAAGAAACAGCAGAGCAAGCGCATTTAGAAAAGCAGAGGTGAATACCTCAAAAACCTCAAAATGGTCACCTCAGAGGGGAGGAGGACAGGTGTGGAGGGGAGGGGCAGCCAGGACTGGGGATTTTAAAAAATAAGCCTTTTGATATTATTTGCACATGTATTTCTTTGATAAAGATTTTTTTTTTAATTTTTAAATTTTTGTAGAGATGGGCCCTCACTCTGTCACCCAGGCTGGAGTGCAGTGGCATGATCATAGCTCATCGCAGCCTCGACCTCCTGGGCTCAAGTGATTCTCCCGCCTCGGCCTCCCAAAGTGCTGGGATTACAGGCATGAGCCACGCCCCCAGCCTGATAAAAAAATATAAGCTTCAAAGGACACAAAAAGAGGGCTTTTGCACACGCAGTTGTCTAAGGTGATTGGTGAATGGTTTTGGGGGGCTGATTGCAGAGCCCACCAGGCGGCAGGGCTGGCGTGCACATTCTCCAGGACCCCACGTTCACACTCACTGTCCTGGACATCTTCCCTGCACTGCTAGGACACCTCGTTCTTTATTCACTAAGCTCTTTCCTGGCTCAGTGAGAGAACATTCAGAGGCCCCAGCAGCAGAGGAATAACAGGCTCCAGTGGAGAAGGGACCGGGAAGGAAGTAATTGGAAATCTCTCTTCCTCCCAGGTTCTATCTCCTCTGCTCACTCCCCACTGCTGAGGGTCGGTACAAAGGGGGGTGACACACTCCCACCCCATCCTTGTCACACTGTGATCTCCCCCAACGCATCAGTGCCTGCACCTTCCAGGCTCCGGAAAGACGATGTGCCCTTTCTGCTTTGGAAAATCACAGTTCTCAGAAGACCAACAGAAATGCATGTAGAAAATGATGGAAATTACTGGGTATCAGAGGACACGATGACCTGAATGAGTAAGAAGATGGTGGGGGCCGGGGGGTAGGGCGGAAGCCAGCTAGGACCTGATAGTGACAAATGCATAACTATTTGCTTATTTTCAGTGCCTTTTGCTTCAAATGAGAGGTTTCTGCTCTCCCACGGTGAAGTGTGAGGCATAAATCCTGCTTCATTATGGGGGACTTCCAGGGGGGTGGCACGGAGCCCAGGAGTCCCTGTGGCATGATGAGGGGGAAGTTGGGAAAGAGAAGCAGAAAGAAAATGGAAGGGGGCCAAACGCAGGAGGTGTGAGGAGGAAAGCCAAGGAAGACGAGGGGAGAGGGAATGATAAAAAGGAGGGAGAAGCCGGGCGTGGGGGCTCACATCTGTAATCCTGGCACTTCAGAAGGCTGATGCAGGAGGACTGCTTGAGCCCAGAAGTTTGAGACCAGCATGGGCAACATGGTGAAACCCCGTCTTTACAAAAAAAAAAAAATATATATATATATATATATATGTGTGTGTGTGTGTGTGTGTGTGTATGTGTGTGTATATATATGTGTGTGTGTGTGTATATATATATATATATATAAATTAGCTGGGCAGGGTGGCATGCACCTGCAGTTCAAGCTACTTGGGAGGCTGAGGGGGAGGGTCACTTAAGCCCAGGAGGTCAAGGCTGAGTGAGCCATGATCACGCCACTGCACCTCTAGGCTGAGCAACAGAGTGAAACCCTGCCTCAAAACAAAACAAAACAAAACAAAACAAACAAAAAAAAGGAATGAGAGGTAGGGTCTAATAGGTAGGAGGCTGGCCCAGGAACAAGTCGGGGTGTTATTCTGTGCACTGATGCAATGGGTTAACGCACTAGTTTCCTAAGCCCGTCAGGGTGAGTTGCCACAAACGTGATGGCTCAAAACAGAAATCCAAAATCCAGGTGGCAGCAGGGCCACGCTCTCCCCCTAGGTCCTAGGGGAGGATCGCCCTCGCCCCTGCCTCTCCAGCTACTGCTGGCCCCAGGCGTTCTTCGTCTTGCCGCTGCGTCACTCCCGTCCCTGCCTCTCTGCCTTCACAGGACCTCTTCTCCCGCGCTTCTCCACAGTGTCTGTGTGTCTCCAATCTCCCTCTTCTTTCTCTTATAAGGACATTAGTCACTGGATCTAGGGTCCACCCTAAGTCCAGGATGATCTTATCTCAAGATCCTTAACTTAATTTCATCTACAAAACCCTATTTCCAAATAAGATCACATTCACAGGTACAGGGGGCCATGGACTGAATGTGTCCCCCCAGAATTCCTATGCTGAAATCCTAATCCCTGTGTGACAGTATTTGGAGGCGGGGCCTTTGGGAGGTGATTACGCTGTGAGAGTGGAGCCGTCATGAATGGGATCAGCGCCTTTATGAGAAGAGGCTGGAGACCGACCATGTGAGGATACGGGGGGAGGGTAGTGCTCTTGAGCCCAGAAGCAGGTCCTCGCCAGAACTGACCATGCTAGCACCTTGATCTTGGATTTGCAGCCTCCAGACGGTGAGAGACGACTGTCTGCTGTTTAAGCCACCCAGTCTTGGCATTTCTTATAACAGCCCTAAGTGATAACTGATTTGGGTGCCCCTATTCAACCCTTGTTTTGACTTAGATGACATTCTCTACAGGGAAAATTTCTTAGGACTATTGGACAAAATATAAAGTTCTTTTCTTGCTTTTTGGTTTTGCAAAAAAAAGAAAGAAAGATGAATGGGTCAATGAGAACATCTGAAAAGTCTGGAGTATCACTGAGGAAATAGAGGGCGATTGAGAATCCGAAAGTGAATGGAAACCTACAACAGAAGTGAGATATGCTTTTCTGTTGTCACCTCATCGGACTGTGTGTGATGACACAAATGCCAATAGCCGGCAAACTGCGAGGAACCGAACATGATCCTGACAGTCTCAGGAGTGCCCCCGCTGAATGATTTTTAAGTTGAATATCTGACTAAAATAAATAATTGTCTCATTTCTTTGTTGATTTAACCAACTCTGAAGCCTAAAAGACACGTGTGAGGCCCTGTGAGGGGAACTAATAGGAATGTGGGCGAATGGCGTCCTTGGAGAGTTCATGGTCTGATAGGAGAGAAAGATTTTATAGGAAATCACAGCCACAAGAAAGCAGCCCACACCCCACACGAGATGGCTGTGGGGGTTTGGGGAAGAAGATAGTGCACCCAGTTGCAGATATCAGAGAGGGCTTCCTGGAGGAGGTAGCACTGAAGCTGGGCATGGTAGGAGGAAGGATCTGAATGAATATGTGGTGAGAGGAGGAAGGCCATTGTGGGCGAAGGCAAAACAGAGGTGGGAGGGGGCGAGCTCGTCAGGGAGTAATTAGTCGTTCAGTTTGGTTGGACCTTAGAGTCTGTGGACAAGAGTAGCGGAGGTGAAGCATAGTGGGGTTATTCCGGGGCTGGCTCCAGGACGGCCTTGAAGGCCACGCAGAGTTGATGCCGCAGACCCATGATTCCGAGGTTGGGAGAGAAGGTCCAGCTCACAGAGAAGCTCCAGGGGCTGGAGATAGTCGGAGAGAGCTCCTCCAAAACGCCTGATGTGCCCCGGGATGTCCCTCCTACCATGGAACTGATGCTCTAGACAATGAGATCCGCTAACACGCTCTGAGCAGGGAATGGCACCGCCAAGCTGTGCTCCAGGAAAGATGCATCTGTAGCTCCTTTTAAGACTTAACAGGAGGCCAGGCATGGTGGCTCATGCCTGGAATCCCAGCACTTTGGGAGGCCAAGGCGGGCGGGTCACCTGAGGTCAGGAGTTCGAGACCAGCCTGACCAATATGGCGAAACCCTGTTTCTGCTAAAAATACAAAAATTAGCCGGGTGCGGTGGTGCACACCTGTAATCCCAGCTACTCGGGAGGCTGAGGCAGGAGAATCGCTTGAACCCGGGAGGCAGAGCTTGCAGCAAGCTGAGATCACGCCACTGCACTCTCCAGCCTTGGTGACAGAGCAAGACTCCATCTCAAAAACAAACAAACAAACAAGAAAACCACTTAATGGGGATGGGACAAATTTCATGGGGCACTACTGCCATCTCCCCAGTTATGTGGAACTGAGGGCTGACCAAGCGGGGTGGCTGTGGGAAGAGGAAAGAAGCAAGCCGTGGGCTCTGAGCGCTTGCTCGTGAAGCAGGGACTGAGCTGTCTGGTGCCTGTGGGGCCGGGCACGGGGAGAAGCTTTTCTGGCTGGACGTTCACTCCTTGTTTGGGTTAAGATAATGTGTGTGCGATTGTCTCAGCCTCTCATCTCACAGGAGTTCCTAGTGCACTGCTGATCCCGAGGGTGCGCAGATCCGCCCTTGAGACACTCATCTGTTCTCTGATGCTCCTGCCTCATCTGTTCTCTGTTTTCCCTACACTGGCAGAGGGGAGGATGAATATCCACGGCCCCTCATTTCCTTCATTTGGATGACGGAAAGATGAAAATGTTTCAGCATCTCTTGTTGACATGTGAGCTGCAGTAAGGCCTGAAGAATCCTCTGCCCACCGAGAGCTGGGGCAGTGTGTGGGGTGTGGCAGAGACAGAAGAGACGGGAAGCTGGACATCCTGTGGACTCGGGTATCAGCTCACCTTCTACCAAGCATTCCATTCCTCTGCTCAGGCCCCAAGTCTCAGAATCATCCTTGCCTCCCTTCTTTCTCCCTCTCCCTCCTCATCCAATCCGCCAAATCCTACCTTCACAATCTGGCCAGTCAGCATGGGTGAACCTTGAGGACATTATGGTAAGGGAATAAGGCAGTTCCCAAAGGACCAACACTGTGATTCCACTTATCTCAAGTACCTCAGGGAGTCAGATTCCTAGAGACAGAGAGTGGAATGTGGATGCCAGGGGCTCTGGGGAGGGGAAAATGGGGGGTTACTGCTCAATGGGTACAAAGTTTCAGTTCTGCAAGATGAAATGAGCTCTGGAGATGGATGGGGGTGATGGGTGCACGACAATGTGAATGTATGTAATACCACTCAGTGTACACTCCAAAACGCTGAAGATGCTTTTATGTTGTATGCATTTTTATAATAAATAAATTATACAATAAAGACCACCGACTTCAAGTTATGATCTCTCATTGGACAAGAGTGACACAGGAGAAGCGTGGACAAAGTCCCCCACTACCACAAATTATGCAGTTGAGTTTCCTGCATTTGGAGAAATGGCAGGGGTCAGCCTACCTGGAGTGCAGTGGGTGAGCCTCACTCTGGGAAAACCATCTTCATGATCATGGCACCTTCCCTGCCAGGGAAGTATGTTATATGGACTTTATCACAATTTTAAAAATACACCCACATATAGATTTATCTCTATCATCTATATCTATCTATATCATCGATATCTATCATCGATATCTACCTATATCTACACCTAGATCTATATCATCTATCTCCAGTGCTCCTCCTCCCATGGCTACTGGCCTGGTCCAAGCTGCCTTTATTTGTCATCTAGATGATTGCAATGACATCCTTCCTGGTCTTTGCCTCTGTAACTATGTTCCCAACGTGTAGTCACAGTGATCTGAATAAAACATAAAACAGACGTGTCGCTGTTCTGCTCTGAAGCCTCCATTTGGCCTCTTATCTTTCTTGGAGTAAAAGCCAAAGGGCTTACCACGGCCCCCATGGGATGTCCAGGCTGGCTGTCAGTATCCCTCTGCCATCACCTCGTGCTGCTCTCCCCTGACTTGGCAGCCGCAGAGGCCCGTTGACTTTGCTGTTCCTCACGTAGACCACGCCGAGCGCGCTCCTGCCTCGGGGCCTTTGTTGCCGGCATCCGCTCTGCTCTAAATGCCCTTCCACACAGCCTCCTGCCCAGGGCTCTCACTTCCTGCAGGTCCCAGCCCAGATCTCCTGTTAGCAATGAACCTTCCCCAAATACCCTAGGAAATAAGGATGCCCCTTGCCCCACCCCACACTCTCTGTCCTACCTGCCCTGCCCTTATCAATTCCTATTTATTTCCGCTAGAATGTAAGTTCCAGGAGGGCAGGTCTCTTTCCGTTTGGTTGGCTGCTGTATTCCTAACACCCAGAGCAGGGCCTTGCTTTTAGGCACTCAATATAGTTGTTGAATGAGTATATTGAGACTTCCATTCCTTCAGGCAATAAATCGATCAGAAAGACAGAGGCCGCTCTAGGTATTTCAAGCAAGAAGAGATTTTTCTCTTCTTTCTTGTGAATTTTTGTGGGTACATCGTATGTGTGTGTATTTGTGGGGTCCATGAGATGTTTGGTTCGGGCACGCCATGTGAAAGGAGCACATCATGGAGAATGGGGTGTCCATCCCCTCAGGCATTTGTCCTTTGAGTTACAAACAACCCAATTACACTCTTTAAGTTATTTTAAAATGTACAGTTATTATTGACTACAGTCTCCCTGTTGTGCTATCAAATAGTAGGCCTTTTTCATTCTTTTTTTTATTTTTTATTTTTTTTTTACCCATTACCATCCCCACCCCCCTACTCCCCTTCCCAGCCTCTGGTCACCATCCTCCTACTCTCTATGTCCATGAGTCCTATTATTTTAATTGTGAGAATATGTGATGTTTGTTTTTCTGTGCCTGGCTTATTTCACTAAATACAATGATCTCCAGTTCCATTCATGTTGTTGCAAATGACTGGATCCCATTCTTTTTTATGGCTGAATAGTACTCCATTGTGCATATCTACCACATTTTCTTTATCCACTCATCTGTTCATGAACACTTAGGTTACTTCCAAATCTTGGCTCTTGTAAATAGTGCTGTAACAAGCAGCAGTGCAGACATCTCTTCAATATACTGAGTTCCTTTCTTTTGGGTATCTACCCAGCCATGAGATTGCTGGATCATACGGTAGCTCAATTGTTAGTTTTTTGAGGAAGCTCCAAACTGTTCTCTACAGTGGTTTACTAATTTACATTCCCACCCACAAGGGTCCCCTTTTCTCTGCATCCTCACCAGCATTTCTTATTGCCTGTCTTTTGGATGTAAGCCATTTTAACTGGGCTGGCATGATATCTCATCGTAGTTTTTTTGTTTTTGTTTTTGTTTTTTTTTTTGGAGACGGAGTCTTGCTCTGTTGCCCAGGCTGGAGTGCAGTGGTGCAATCTTGGCTCATTGCAACCTCCACCTCTGGGTTCAAGTGATTCTCCTGTCTCAGCTTCCTGAGTGGCTGGGATTACAGGTGCATACTGCCACACCCAGCTAATTTTTTGTATTTTAGTAGAGACGGGGTTTCACCGTGTTACCTAGGCTGGTCTCGAACTCCTGAGCTCAGGCAATCCACCTGCCTCGGCCTCCCAAAGTGCTGGGATTACAGACGTGAGCCACCACGCCCGGCCCTCATTGCAGTTTTGATTTGCTTTATCTAATGATCATGGTGTTGAGCACCTTTTCATGTGCCTGTTTGCCATTTCTATGTCTTCTTTTGAGAAATAGCTATTCAAATCTTTTGCTCATTTTTTGATCAGATTATTAGACTTTTTCCTATAGAGTTGTTTGAGCTCCTTATATATTCTGGTTACTAATCCCGTGTCAGATGGGTGGTTTGTAAATATTTTCTCCCATTCTGTGGGTTGTCTCATCTCTTTGTTGATTGCATCCTTTGCTATGCAGAAGCTTTTTTACTTGATGTGTTCCCATTTGTCCATTTTTGTTTTGGTTGCCTGTGCTTGCAAAGTATTGCTTAAGAAATTTTTGCCCAGACCAATGTCCTGGAGATTTTCCCCAATGTTTTCTTGCAGTAGTTTCACAGTTTTGTCAGAGGCGTTTGAATCAGAGCAACTCCATCTTGAATAGGATCTTGGTAACACGAGGCTGAGACCTACTGGGCTGCATTCCCAGACAGTTAAGGCATTCTAAGTCACAGGATGAGATAGGAGGTCAGCACAAGATACAGGTCATAAAGACCTTGCTGATAAAACAGGTTGCAGTAAAGGAGCTGGCCAAATCCTACCAAAACCAAGATGGCGACGAGAGTGACCTCTGGTCATCCTCACTGCTACACTCCCACCAACACCGTAACAGCTTACAAATGCCACGGCAATGTTGGGAAGTTACCCTATATGGTCTAAAAAGGGGAGGCATGAATAATCCACCCCTTGTTTAGCATATCATCAAGAAATAACCATAAAAATGGGCGACCCGCAGCCCCAAGGGCTCTGTGTGTGGAGTAGCCTTTCTTTTATTTCTTCACTTTCTTCATAAACTTGCCTCCACTTTACTCTCTGGACTCTCCCTGAATTCTTTCTTGCACGAAATCCAAGAACCCTCTCTTGGGGTCTGGATCAAGACTCCTTTCTTGTAACAGTTTGAGGTCTTAGATTTAAGTCTCTAATCCATTTTGATTTGAATTTTGCGTATGCTGAGAGATAGGGGTCTAATTTCATTCTTCTGTGTATGGATATCCAGTTTTCCCAGCACCATCTATTGAGACTGTCTTTTCCCTAGTGTATGTTCTTGGCACCTTTGTCAAAAATGAGTTCACTTTAGGTGTGTGGATTTGCTTCTGGGTTCTCTATTCTGTTCCGGGGGTCTATGTGTCCTTTTTAATGCCAGTAACATGCTGTTTTGGTTACTTTAGCTCTGTAGTATAATTTGAAGTCACATAATGTAACTTCTCTAGTGTTCTTCTTTGTTCAAGCAAGAAGAGATTTAGGGATCTAGGAATTAGAGCTTCAAAATCACTGGAAGGCTAGAGGTGCGAAGGTTCAGGAAAGCCATTCATTGCCCTCAGGCCCACCACCAGTTACAGGAAAAACAACAAGTTTCAGAACCTGCAGAAACCATTGCCAGGGTCACATTTGCCTGCAGTACCAAGGTGGGATTCACTGGGGAAATGCTCAAATGCCAAGGCAAACTCATGCTTGCCGTGTTTGCCACCTGTTGAAGGGGGAGCAGCAAGCCGGCTTGCCTCTCTTCTATTTTCCAAATTTCACTCGAGTGCCTCTCAGCGGCCCAATCTAAGTTGGAATGCTCCTAGTTGGTATACTGGGAAATATAGTCCCCAGGCTTTCTACTCCCCAGTACAGAGCTGGCACACCAGAGTGGAGAACCAGCCGACGACCCAGCAGAGGCAGAAGATGCCACCCTGTGTTCTCTTCTTGCTTCCCCCCAAGTTATCCTTTTTGTGGGAAGAGACTCTCCAAGAAAGAGATCAATGATGCAGATGAATTTCAAGGATTGAGGTCTGTCAGATTTCAGAGTCCACATGTGGAGGGAATGTCTACCTTAAATTACCAAAAGGTAATGATTATAGCTTAAGTGTATTGAGCTGTACTATGTGTCCAGTACTATTCTAAGCCTTTCATATAAATTACCGAATTTAGTCCTCATGAGGCAAGCATTATTATTCATCCTCATTTTATTTTATTTTATTTCATTTCTTTTTTTCTGAGACAGAGTCTCACTCTGTCACCCACGCTGGCATGCAGTGGTGCAATCTCAGCTCACTGCAACCTCTGCCTCCTGGGTTCAAGCGATTCTCGTGCCTCAGCCTCCCAAGTAGCTGAGACTACAGGTGCACGCCACCACGCCCAGTTAATTTTTGTGTTTTTAGTAGAGATCAGGTTTCGTCGTGTTGGCCAGACTGGTCTGGAACTCCTGACCTCAGGTGATCCACCTGCCTCAGCCTCCTAAAGTGCTGGGATTACAGGAGTGAGCCACTGTGCCCAGTCTTCATCCTCATTTTATAGATGAGGAAAGAGAAAGTGGAGGCTAAGTATCTTGCCCAAGGTTGCATAGCTAGAAAGCTGTGGGGCCACATTTTCAACCCTGGCTTTCTGACTTTGGAGCCTGAGCTTCTAAACATTAGATTACATTCCCCCTCCCCCATAAAGGGGTGGAAACACCAGTTCTGGGCATCTCAGCTACAAGAGCATACATGAAGGAAAGGCTTTAAACGTCTATGTAAATTTGTCAATAACATAAAAATAAAGATGACCTGAATGTAGCACTTGGGAGGTCAAAACAGAAGCCATGAGTAGGTCTCAAGAAGTATGTTGCTCTGGGTCAGGGAATCCTGCAACAGCAAAGTCGCTTGTTCACTGTGGCACGGAGAGGGGTAAGTAGGGAGAAGTGTGGCTTGCAACTTGGAATTCGAACCCTTTCCCTGCCACACTAACTTCTTTGGTGGTGTTGGCATATCATTTAGGCTTTTTGTATTTTGGGGCTTCTCACAGTTCTAAGTGAAATAACGATGTTAACTTTATCCAGAGAAGAATATGGGGGAAGTCCTAATCACTTAGTATAAATTATTCTGAAAACCAAACTGCTAAAGCATAATGCTCTATGCTGGCAGAGAAGTGAATATTGCACTAGAGAATCTTCCAGGTGTCATTTAAAATTCAACAGTGATGGGCCTCCAGTAACTAAGGAAGATGACTTCACAGTCTGCTAGATTTTACGGTCATTGTTTTCACCTTGAAAGCTTGCCTACACTTTCTTAATTTTAATTTAAATCCATCCCTCCTTTGAAACCTCCTAAACTAGGTGTGTTTCTCTCTTTGTTCTCACCCCT
The DNA here is from genome assembly GCF_000001405.40 of Homo sapiens. Taxonomy (NCBI): domain Eukaryota; kingdom Metazoa; phylum Chordata; class Mammalia; order Primates; family Hominidae; genus Homo; species Homo sapiens. Next base: position 245,139,330 of record NC_000001.11, read on the forward strand.
AGACATGGACTTCCTGAAAACAGTCTTGTTTTACCAGTTATTTTTAGATTTTATACATATTCTAGTTGCTTCAGTCTTCACTTTGAAGCCATCCCTTCTAAGTTGTTTAATTACTGTGATCATACACTACATTTATCTTTCGGGCAATAAGATGTTCAGAACAGAATGCAATATTTTAGATTAAGTTTCAGGCTGGGTGCGGTGGCTCACGCCTGTAATCTCAGCAGTTTGGGAAGCCGAGGTGGATGGATCATGTGAGGTCAGGAGTTTGAGACCAGCCTGGCCAAGATGGCAAAACCTCATCTCTACTAAAAATACAAAAATTAGCCAGGCATGGTGGTGGGTGCCTGCAGCGCCAGCTACTTGGGAGGCTGAGGCAGAAGAATTGCTTGAATCTGGGCGGCAGAGGTTACAGTGAGCTGAGATTGCGCCACTGCACTCCAGCCTGGGCAACACAGGGAGACTCTGTCTCAAAAAAAAAAAAAAAAGAAAAAGTTTCAACTGAGCTATTTCACATGAAAGCAACGCACTAGATTCATGATACATACTGAGTTCCTCCATATACCTGTAACCAGAGCCACACCCAGTGCTGTGCTGAGTGTTAGGGACACAAAGATTAAGGACCTGGCTACCAGCCTCAAGGAGCTTAGAGTCGAATGGTTATAATGCACAGATTTTTGAACCCTTAAATGGGTGTCTCAAATCTTGAGTCAGAGCTCTGTAATTAGCAATCATTTTGCACCTTAGCTCTGCACAGTGGGTTTAGAACTCTTCAGGAGTAATCAATTTAATAGAGAAAAGAGGGCAAATAAAAACACAAATGGATAGCACGTGCATAGCTATATTGTTAGTGATTAGGGAAGATCAGATTGCAGTCCCAGAGGGACTGTGAAGAGTGTCATGGATCAGTGGGACTCATCGAGAGACGCTTCCTGCAGGAAGTAGGCCTCCCTTAATGTAGCAAAAGTTTACATTATTTCTGAACATTAATTATGTAATTAATTACATAATTAATTTCATTAATGTAAATTATTCATTTACATAACTAATGTAAATTAAAGTTTACATTAACTACATTTAATTAATGTAAATTAAAGTTTACATTAATTCCATTATCTCTTGCCTGTCTTTAGGGAGAACTGCTTTATTTATTTATTAAAATTTTATTTTATTTCAAATTGAGGGGGTACATGGGCATGCTTGTTACGTGGGTACATTGTATACTGGGCTTCTAGTGTACACATTACCCAGAGAGTGAACATCATACCTGATGGGTACATTTTCAACCCTTGCTCCCTGCAAGTCCCTGCCCACCCACTTTGGAGGCCACGTGTCCACTGTTTCCATCTTCATGTCCATGTGGACTCACTGTTTTGCCTCCACTTACAAGTGAGAACACGCAGTTTTGATTTTCTGTCTCTGAGTTAGTTCCTTAGGATAATGGCCTCCAGCTCCATCCATGTCACTGCAAAGGACATGATCTCATGCTTTTGTATGGCTGTTTTTTTTGTTTTTTTTTTGAAGAGATAGTCTCACTATGTCGATGAGGATGAAGTGCAGCGGCATGATCATAGCTCACTGCAGCCTCGAATTCCTGGGCTCAAGAGATCATCCCACCTTAGCCTCCTGAGTAGCTGGGATGATAGATGTACACCACAACTGGCTAATGAAAAAAAAAAAAAATTGGCTGGGCGCAGTGGCTCACGCCTGTAATCCCAGCACTTTGGGAGGCCGAGGCGGGTGGATCATGAGGTCAGGAGATCAAGACCATCCTGGCTAACACGGTGAAACCCCGTCTCTACTAAAAATACAAAAATTAGCTGGGCATGGTGGCGGGCGCCTGTAGTCCTGGCTACTTGGGAGGCTGAGGCAAGAGAATCGCTTGAACCCGGGAGGCGGAGGTTGCAGTGAGCTGAGATTGGTCCACTGCAATCCAGCCTGGGTGACAGAGCAAGACTGTCTCAAAAAAAAAAAAAAAATAGCAATGTGGTTTTAGGATGCTGCCCAGGCTGGTCTCAAATTCCTGGCCGCAAGCAATCCTCCTGCGTCAGCCTCCCGAAGTGTTGGGATTACAGGTGTGATCCACTGCACCTAGCCAAGAACTGCTTTCCAAATGTCTACCATGCAGAGTCAGGGTCATTGTCTCCGTGAGTAGGAAGTTTGATGTTTTGGCTTGCCTTCATGCCTTTGATTTTCTCATACTTTTGAGACTCCATATTTTCACACTTTATTTTCCCTTCTGCAGGTGTGTTGGCAACACCTCTCGATTTAGCTCATCCCTGCATTTTATCTGTTGCTTTTTATTCCCCCTTAAAGAACATTAAGATGAGAGCTAAGGCCAGAGCCAGTGCTGGTGTCAGGCCTCCCTTCCTGGGGCCTGTGGGTCACATGTCACAATTTGTGGCCTAGAGCATTTGGTTGTGTTTTCAATCCATGCACCTGTGTTCTTCTGGGAGCTGAGATTTGCTAAGATTCGCTACAGTGAAAGTTTTATCTAAGTAAACATCTCTCACCTCTTTTGGGGACTTTTCATCTGTGGAATGAGTGAAACGGTCCAAAGGTGATCAAGTACGCAAGACAGCCTCCTCTCTCTAGGACCTGGATCTTCCTCGCTCCTCATTCTCATGAACCATTAGTGGGTTTTTTTTCTTCTTTCTCTTAGGACATGGTCACAGTTGTGTGCAGCAGTGAAGCTGGACATAAGAGAGCACAGCCAAACTGGGGCTGTGGGGTGTTTCCTCTCACCTGTTCTTCACCTGTTCTTGCCCACTCAGAGCATTGTGGCCCCTGGCTTTTATTACTGCTTCTTTAGTTGCCTGAGATGCAGTCTTCATTGGGAGGAGCTTGAAAAGAACTCACTAGCAGGACCTAGTGCACAGCAGGCATTTAATAATGATTTGTCTTCGGCTCTCTCTGCAACCTTGTGAGTGGCATTGCACCCTGCAGCCTGCTGTTACACACAGAGTCAGATTAGCTATGGCTAGTCACGGCTAGTCACGGCTGGTCATGGCTAGCTAGTCACGGCTGGTCATGGCTAGTCATGGCTAGTCACAGCTGGTCATGGCTAGTCACAGCTAGTTACAGCTAGTCAGGGCTAGTCACAGCTGGTCATGGCTAGTCACAGCTAGTTACGGCTAGTCACGGCTCATCACGGCTCCTTGTGGCTAGTCACGGCTAGTCACGGCTAGTCATGGCTAGTCATGGCTTGTCACGGCTTGTCATGGCTCATCACGGCTTGTCCCGGCTCGTCCCATGACGGGATTCTCTGGGCATCATTCTTCTCCTGGGACTTGGTGTCCTCATCCTTCCTGTGGGAGCGAGGAGGCTGCCTCCCTCACGGGTGGCTGTGAGGAATTATAAACCAATAAAGTGACTGCTTAGCATACGGCTGAATGTGAAGGGCAATAGAAATGCTTAATTTCATTTATTTGCTAGTAGTTGGGTGGCCACGTGAATGTTGCTGTGGAGACCATAACTCCTGAATTCCCCAACACTTACCTATGCTGTTGTTTTTAAATGAAGCTTTACACTTAAATCTTGTGATTTTTTTTAAAATTAGAAAAGTAGCAGGAAGGGTCACAGCTTGCTCTCCATCTCAGCCTTTTCATAGGAAACTGTGAGCTGCTACAGTCCCCACCTAGGAGCATCTACTGACCAGTTACTCTCACCTGATCCCTCTCTTCACCCAAGGTCATACGTCTTCCATCTATCCATCCACCCGTCCACCCATCCGTCCATCTGTCCACCCACCTGTCTGTCCACCCACCCGTCTGTCTGCCCACCCATCTGTCCATCTGTCCACCTGTCTGTCCACCTGTCCACCCGTCCATCTGTCCACCCACCCGTCTGTCCACCCACCCGTCCGTCCATCTGTCCACCCACCCATCTGCCCACCTGTCTGTCTGCCTGTCTCTCCGTCCACCTGTCCACCCGTCCGTCCATCTGTCCATCCACTCTGTCCACCTGTCTGTCCATCCACCCATCTACCCGTCTGTCCATTTGTCCACCCACTTTGTCCACCTGTCTGTCCATCCACACGTCCGTCCATCTGTCCACCCACCCGTCTGTCCATCCACCTGTCCGTCCATCTGTCCACTCCCCCATCTGCCCACCTGTCTGTCCGTCCACCCGTCCACCCATCCGTCCATCTGTCCACCCACTCTGTCCACCTGTCTGTTCACTCATCCACCTGTCCATCCATCTGTCCACCCACCCATCTGTCCACCCACCCATCTATCCACCTGTCTGTTCCTCCATCCAGATACACTGCATTTCCAACTCATGAGTTGAATGGGCCCCATGTGAGTAGATCAGAACTGTTGATTTTCTAGTGAACCTTTAGAATTGAGAGGATGGAGACGTGATGGCAGATTCTGTGCAGCTGATGAGGTGAAGGGGGAAGTGGCAAAGGGAACATTTGCAGCAGTGATGGTGGAGGCTTTAGCAATTCCGTGCTGGTGCCCAGCCTCAGGCAGCACACAGCTGTGAGATGACAGTCAAGCCAGGGGGCAACAACAGCACTGCTTAGAAAAATGGGTCTTGATTCTAAGCCCTCATTGGAGGAATCCTGGAATCCCACACCCCAGCAAGTCCCTCTCTTCCCTGAGCAGGTCCTCAGGTTGCTTCCGTGTCTCCACCACGGTCTTTGAAGCCCTTCTCTGGGCTGTGTGTGCTTCTCTGCCCACCACCCTTACGGCTGACTCTGGTGGCCATCGCTCCCACAGCTGAAGCTGCTGCACCTGCTGCGGCTCGTATGGCTTAGGTGGAGACAGCCCGTGCCTTACTCCTGGCCACGGCAACTTTGTTCTGGCAGTTCTTTACAGAGTTCTTAGTATCACAACTTTTTTTTTTTTTTTTTAATTAAGCACACATTCTCAGTTCATTTTCTTTAATGGCTCTTCTATTCCCAACAGCAATCAGCCAGTGTCTTTTGATGATCTTCCCAGTGCTGGGGTCCCCTCTCCCAAGACGACATGAAGCTAGACCCCATGGGGACTCTAGCTGGACATGCTGGGATTCCTGAAGTGGGCACACAGGCTAACTCTCTCTCTGGGACTTTTGCTTCAGAGGGAAAAGACAACTGGATTATTGTGGCCATATCTTTTCTCTTTTTTAATGTCAGTTCTGGGATACATGTGCAGAGCATGCGGGTTTGTTACATAGGTATACATGTGCCATGGTGGTTTGCTGCACCCATCAACCTGTCATCTGGGTTTTAAGCCCCACATGCATTCGGTATTTGACCTAATGCTATCCCTCCTCGACAGGCCCCGGTGTGTGATGTTCCCCTCCCTGGGTCCATGTGTTCTCATTGTTCAACTCCCACTTACGAGTGAGGACATGCAGTGTTTGGTTTTCTGTTCCTGTGTTAGTTTGCTGAGAATTACGGCTTCCAGCTTCATCCACGTCCCTGCAAAGGACATGAGCTCATTCTTTTTTATGGCTTCATAGTATTCCATGGTGTATATGTGTATTGTGGCCATATCTTTTCTAAATCAAATGCATCATCTTCCTCCCACTTTTCTTGTTGTTGGAAATGGTATTTCATCTCTCTTGCCCAGCTCATATGCCTGAAAATCATCCTTGCCATCTCTGCACATCAGTTTAGTCTCCAAGCCTAGCCGATTGAGTGCCAACAGCTCTGAAATTGATCCCCAATTTCCATCCCCTCCTTTACCTCTCCCATCACTTTCTAAAAACAGCACTATTGACATATTTTACATATGATAAAACCCACCCTATTCAAGTGCACAGTTCAATATTTTTTGGTAAATTTACTGAGTGGTGCAGCCATCACCATAAATCAGTTTCAGAACATTTTCATCATCCCAATGAAGATCCCATTTACAATTAATCCCTGTTCCTACCCCCAGTTTCAGGCAACCACTAAGCTACTTTCTATCTACAGATTTGCCTTCTGAGCATTTCATATAGATGAAATCACACACTACGTGATCTGTCATGTCTGGTTTCTTTCAGTTAGCATGATGCTTTTGAGATTCATTTGTGTTGTGATGTCTATCAGTATATCAGTATTTCATCCCTTTTTATTGCCCAGTAATACTCCATTTTTGGATACACCGCATTTTGTCCATCCATCAGCTGAGGCACATTTCACCTCTTTTTGGCTATTTATAAATAATGCCACTATGAACTTTTGTGTGCAAGTCTTTGTGTGAATGTGAACATATGCTTTTATTTCTCTTGGGATAGATACTAAGGAATGAAGTTGATGACGGTACAGTGATATTATGTTTAACTTTTTGAGAAACTGCCAAACTGTTTTCCAACACAGCACACCATATTACATTCCCACCAGCAACGCATGAGGGTTCCCGTTTCTCCACATCCTCAACAATGTTGTCATTGCCTGTCTTTTTGATGATAGTCGTTCTAGTGGGTATGAAGTGGTGTCCTTTGTATTTTTAATTTTCATTTCTCTAATGACGAATGATGTGGAGCCTCATTTCATGTGCTTATTAGCCACACACAGAGCTTCTTTGATGAAATATCTGTCCATGTCTCTCACCCATTTTTTGATGAGGTTGTTTGTTTTCTAATTATGGAATTGTAAGGCCCTCCCGTCCCATCACTTTTTTTTTTTTTTTGAGAGAGGGTCTCACTCTCTCGTCCAGGCTGGAGTGCAGTGGCCCCAGCATGGCTCACTGCGGCCTCGACCTCCTGGGCTCAAGTGATCCTCCTACCTCAACCTCTCAAGTAGTTGGGACTACAGGTGCATGCCACCACACCTGGCTAATTTTTTAGTTTTGTGGAGACAGGGTTCTCACTATGTTGTCCAGGCTGGTCTCAAACTCCTGGGCTCAAGCAATTCTCCTGCCTGTAATTTGAGTGCTGTTTTAAAAATTTTAAATAAAAATGTTTCCAGGAACTCCCCCCCGCCACCCCCCAGCAAGAAAATGATATTCTAGTCTGGTTCTCTTTTGAATTCATTGGAACAGTCACCAATCATATAGGTAGTGGGTTTTTTTATTCGTTATTTTAACTTTTATTTTTGGTTCGGGGTACATGTGCAGGTTTGTTATATAGGTAACCTTGTGTCACGAGGGTTTGTTGTACCGATAATCTTGTCACCCAGGTACTAAGCCTAGTACCCAATACTTATTTTTTCTGATCTTCTCCCTCCTCCCATCCTCTACCCTCAATTAGGCCCAGTTGTATTTTATTCTAAGTTCTGGACTTCCACAGCTTTTTAGCTTTTTATGCCCCACCTGCTACCCACATCTTCCACCTCAGATCCTAAGCTGTGTGTGGTTCTTGCTTGGGGACCAAGGAAGGGTTTATGTTTTTCCCTGGCACTCTCCTTGGCTTTGCCTTTAAAAAAAAAAAAGAGAGAGAGAGAGAGATGAGGCTTCTATCTGTTGTCCAGGGAGCACAGTGGTGCAAACATAGCTCACTGTAGCCTTGAACTCCTGGCTCCCTCTCACTCTGTTGCCCAGGCTGGAGTGCAGTGGCATGATCTCGGCTCACTGCAACCTCTGCCTCTGGGGTTCAAGTGATTCTCCTGCCTCATCCTCCCAAGTAACTGGGACTACAGGTGCGCACCACACCTGGTGAATTTTTGTATTTTTCTTTTTTTTTTTGAGACAGTGTCTCACTCTGTCGCCCAGGCTGGAGTGCAGTGGCACGATCTTGGCTCACTGCAAGCTCCACCTCCCAGGTTCACGCCATTCTCCGGCCTCAGCCTCCTGAGCAGCTGGGACTACAGGTGCCTGCCACCACGCTGGGCTAATTTTTTTTTTTTTTTTTGTATTTTTAGTAGGGACGGGGTTTCACCATGTTAGCCAGGACGGTCTCGATCTCCTGGCCTCGTGATCCACCCGCCTCAGCCTCCAAAGTGTTGGGATTACAGGCGTGAGCCACCGCGCCAGGCCAATTTTTGCATTTTTAGTAGAGACAGAGTTTCACCATGTTGGCCAGGCTGGTCTTGAACTCCTGACCTCAAGTGATCCTCCTACCTCAGCCTCCCAAAGTGTCGGGATTACAGGTGTGAGCCACCGTGCCCAGCCTGCTTTGTTGTATCCTGGCTTTGGCTAGGCATGCAGCTGTGTGTGTGTGCAATGTGTGCATGTTGCTCACATTGTGTGTGTGTGTGTGTGTGTGTCTGGATGCTTTGTGGGCACACACATCGTTTACCCTCTAGCTTCTTGTGATTCCTCTCTGACACTGAAACTTGCTTTAAGTTCCTTTTAATCTTTTTCTCATAAGAATATTAAATTAAGAATATTAAATATTAATATTAAATTCTGTCTTAGAAAACAGAATTAGAGGCTGGTCATGGTGGCTGATGCCTGTAATCCCAGCACTTTGGGAGGCTGAGGTGCGGGGAGGATCACTTGAGGCCAAGTGTTTGAGACTATCCTGGGCAACATAGCAAGATGCTGTCTGTATAAAAAAATATAAAATAATTAGCCAGGTATGGTGGTGCATGCCCGAAGCCCAGCAATTAGAGTTGCCAGCTGCTTGGGAGGCTGAAGCAGGAGGATCACTTGAGCCCAGGAGTTCAAGGCTATAGTGAGTTACACTTGTGCCACTGTACTCCAGCCTGGGCAACAGAGTGAGATCCTGTCTCAAACAAAAGTAAAAAGAAAACAGAATTAGAATTAGCAACTCCCCCCAAAGAATTGTTATGCTTTTTAATATTTTGGTGTTAAAATCTAATCTTTTTTTCCTGATACATATATACTTTTCTTTTGGTTTTACTGAGTTATTATCATATTGCATATACTTTACTTTTTAACTTAACACTAATATATGATCAATATCTTTGCATTCCATTATTCTTTTATGAGCATTTGTAAGGGCTGCAAGGTATTCCACTGTCTGACTAGACTGTAAGTTGTTTATTTACTTTTTTTAAGAAATGGGGTCTCACTATGTTGGCCAGACTGGAGTGCAGTGGCACCATGATAGCTCACTGCAGCCTCGAACCCCTGGGTTCAAAACATCCTCCAGCCTCAGCCTCCTGAGTAGCTGGGACCACAGGTGTGTGCCACTGTGCCTGGCTTAGACTGTGAGTTATTAAACCCATCCCCACTCTTGTGCGTTTAGGCTGTTTTTCTCCCCTTCGCTATTATAAACAGAGCTACACTGGATGCTGTGATCCCTTTTCAAAGCAGGTTACTTCTGTGGAAGGGGCAGCACAGCCCAAGGTTGTGAGCATCTGGAACCCAAGGTCAGTGGGCTGAGGACACATTGTCTGATCCTCCTCGCTCTTTTTAATCTTTTTAAAGTCTTTTAAAATCTTTTTTAAGTTTTCTCCCCCAACCCCAAAACAAAATAAAATTAACAACCAAAAAAAAATGTATCACTCTGACTACACAAATTTGGTTCATATCTTTTCTCTCTATCTACCTTTATCATCTGAACTTTTAATTTCAGACTGAAATCAAGCCTTGGAATTTAGCGTGGAAGGAATTTATAAGGCTAAAATGATTAATGATTGAAATGATATTTCAAGAGTGGAAACCCTTTCTCAGCTTGCAGGATAACAACCCTCCTCTTATACCACAATAATGACCAGGCACACAGATTCACGTTACCAGCTTGCCGATGACTCTCTGGTGGCCCCCGCATGATCATACGGTCCTCAGAACACCAGAAGATCATATGCAAATATTGTCTGCATATTCATCAAGATACCACGTGGCCAGTGTAAGCTGCTTTAATTATTCTTCAAGGAGAAACACAGCCGTCTCTAGCACACGCACTTCAGTGGCTCTGTCGGCATGTTGGTGCCTGAACTGATATGGAAATTATTTCGAAAGCAAAATATTGAAGAGGAGTGAAATCTGCTGTACTGTACAGTCAACTTAGCAATTAGAAGTTGCCAGCCTTTTTTTTTTTTTTGAACAGTCTTGCTCTGTTGCCCAGGCTGGAGTTCAATGATGCCATGTTGGCTCACTGCAACTTCTGCCTCCTGGGTTCAGATGATCCTCCCCTCAGCCTCCCAAGTAGCTGGGACTACCAAGCATGCACCACCACATCTAGCTTTTTTTTTTTTTGTATTTTTTGTAAAGATGAGGTCTCGTTATATTGCCTGGGCTGGTCTTCAACTCCTGGGCTCAAACAGTCCACCCACCTTGGCCTTCCAAAGTGCTGGGATTATAGTTGTGAGCCACCGCACCTGGCTGGTTTTTTATTTCTGATTTATACTTTCAGACTTTCAAAAACACAATGATATAATATATTTTAGCTATAAAATTTATGATCTATTCACCCCTGAGTTATAAATAATGGGAAAGCTAAACTGCATTCTCTGAAATATAAAAGTCCCGTGAGGCATTCCCAAAGAAGTTATGTCCATTTAATAATTAAGCAACAAGGAATATGGAATAAAAATTTCATTCTTAGCCAGGTAATGGACTTTAGCTTTCTTTGCACTTTGTACTCATGGATACACCAGAAAGATATGTTTTTCACCCAGGGATATCAACGGAATCAATAAATTGATGTTCATAGAAGCTCTTGGTGGCCGGGTGTGGTGGCTCACACCTGTAATCCCAGCACTTTGGGAGGCCGAGGTGGGCAGATCACTTGAGGTCAGGAGTTCAAGACTGGTCTGGCCAACATGGTGAAACCCCGTCTCTACTAAAAATACAAAAATTAGTCAGGCATGGTGGTGCATGCCTGTAGTCCCAGCTACTTGGGAGGCTGAGGGATGAGAATCACTTGAACCCGAGAGGTGAAGGTTGCAATAAGCTGAGATCTTACCACTGCACTCCAGCCTGGGGAACAGAGTGAGGCTCCGTCTTAAAAAAAAAAAAAAAAAAAAAAACTCTTGGCTTTTATAAGCCAGTATATAATTTTTTCATTCTTAAAATGAGTGTCTTTTCCCACCTAAATCTTGAAGTAATAGTGTTAACATCCTCAAATGTGAAGAAGAAAAACATGTATATTTATAATCTATATCATTTATCTATCTATGAGTAATGAGTAAAGGTTTCAGTTGCAACACTGAAATTCCTCAGTCTAATAGAGAATCAAATTATAGCTACAGGCTGCTAATTCATAGAAAGAAAACCCTTGAAACAACAAGAATTCCAAAAGCCCAAGGTAGATCTGAAAAAGCCACCGTTAAAACTAGAATTCGGGAGTATCTTATGTACAACGTTGAATTTCCCAAAGAAAACTCTCATAAACTGACAACAATGACCAACCCATTTAAGGGCCCTGGAGAATGGCCAGAAGCAGGCAGAGACTGGAAGGGGTTCGAAGATCTAATCCTTAAAAGAAGGGTTCTAGGGCCCTCCTTCCAGTCTGCTGAGCACTGTGACTAGAGCACAAGAAAAAAGCCAGTCGTAGGGTTTGAGGCATTCCATGGTGAAGTTCAGGGCTGTCAAGAGTAGCTGGAGAGGGGGAAGGAGAATCCAGGAAAGGAGAGAGCCACACTGGGGCAGCCCTGAAATCCACTAAAATTTCCCTCAAATCTGGCTGATGAGTTGAACTCTGAACACCCAGAAGAGCTGCAGGAAGTCGAGAGAAGGCAGGAACTGCATGGTGAAGGAGTTGAGCAGAGACTGCAAGTCCTGTCAAGTGCACGGAGCAGAGTTGGAGTCTGAGTTCCAAGTTAGAGGGGACTGGCAAAGCGGTTAGGCTTTCCATTGAAGCTGCAGAAGGGCTGCGCCTCGGGGATAAAGAACAGTCCCAGGACTAAGGGATTTTCCTTAGATCTCAGGGCAAAAGCTAGTTAGAACCACTCAAAGAAAGCATGAAACCAAGCCTCCTCAAGTTCGAGGTGACCCATCAGTAACTTAACTGCCTGCTAGAACAAAAATCAATACTCCTCAAGGAAGGGAATAGAATCTAGCATCTCTATGATGTAGCATCTACAATATTCAATATACAGTTACAATTTCTTGAATATGAAAAGAAACAGGAAAATGTGATTCCGAGTCAGTAGAAAAATCAGTTAATAGAAAGTGACCCCCAAATGAGTCAGAGGTTGGAATTCAGACAAGAACTTTAAATACGCTACTGTAAATATGTTTAAGGATTTAAAGGGGGAAAAAAACAGAGAACTGGAAACACACACACACACCCACACACATATGCAATTTTTGGATCAGCTGCATCAGCTTAACAGCAGATTGGAGGCAGCTGAAGCAAAGGTTGGCGAACTTAATAAAGGAGCAATAGAAATGATTCCGTCTGTAAAGAGGTAAAAATGTAAATAATGAACAGAGTTTCAATAACCTATAAGACAATATCAAGCACTGTAATAACAAACATGTAATTGGTATCCCAGAAGGAGAGGAAAAAGAGAGAACAGGGCAGAAAAAAATATTTGACTAAGTAGTGGCTGAGAATCCCCCAAATTTGGTAAAAAACTTACAGATCAATTTACAGATCCTAGAAATTCAGCAAACCCTAACCAGGATAAATACAAAAAGTAACACATATAGAAATATTATAGTCAAATTACTGAAAACCAGAGGCAAAGAAAAAATCTTCAAAGAACTCAGAGAAAAAAAGACACATTACATACAGGAGACTGTCCATATGAATTACTGCTGACCTCTCATCAGAAACAAGGAAGGCCAAAAAGCAATGAATGACATCCTCAAAGGGCTGAAAGAAAAATAACTGTCAATCAGGAATTCTACGTCTAGCTAAACGATTCTTCAAACACAAAAGTGAAACAAAGACATTTTCAGATAAGCAGAATCTGAGAATTTGTTGCCAGGAGACCCTCACTATAAGAAACACTAAAAGAAATGACCCAGTTAGAAACTTGCCTCTAAAGGAAAAAAAATAAAGAGCCCCAGACATGACAAAACTGGGTAAATATAAAAAACTTGACATTTTCACTGAAAGACAACAGATTGTTTCAAGTAAAATTGATGAAATTGTTTTGTGGATTTTATAATGCATGTAGATGTAAAATATATCAAATTAGTAGCACAAAGGAGGAAGGTAAGATGGAGAGGTTGCAAGTCTACATTTTAGGTGAAGCGGCACAATGTTAATTCTAAGTAGCCTATGAAATGTTAAAGATTCATATTATAGGCCAGGTATGGTGGTTTCATGCCATAATCCCAGCACTTTGGAAGGCGGAGGCGGGAAGACAGCTTGAGCTCAGGAGTTTGAGACCAGCCTGGGCAACACAGGGAAACCTTGTCTCTACTTAAAAAAAAAAAAAATTAGCCAGGTGTGGTGGTGTGCACCTGTAGTCCCAGCTACTAGGGAGGCTGAGGAGAGAGGATCATTTGAGCCTGGGAGATGGAGGCTGCCGTGTGCCATAATAGCGCCACTGCACTCTAGCCCAGGCAACAGAGTGAGCCCCTGCCTCAAAAAAAAAATCCATATTATAATCATCAGAGCTAAAAAGTCAACAGAGAGATGAAACTGGAATACTGAAAAGTTATTCAATTAACAAAAAAAGGCATGAGAGACAGAAGAATGAAAGAGAGTAGAGATAGAAAACAGACCCATACTAGCAACAACATGAAACTCAAAAACCTGTGTTAAGTGAAAAAAGCCAAACCCAAAAGAGTACATGCTGTACGGATTCTATGAATTAAAAACCCTTCCAGATCAGTCCACACTAACCCATGCTGATAGAAATCAGAACAGTAGTTTCTTATGAGAGGTGGGGATTGCCTGGGAAAAGGTAGATAACCTTCAAGAGGGACAGGAATTTATAGATGTTGATCGAGGTGGTGGCCTACGCAGAGTACACGTTTGTCAAAATTCATAGAACTTAACAATTAAAATGTGTGCGTTTCATCTTATGTATATACATTTTACATAAACATCAATTTTTGAAAGCTTCTTAAAAACTCTTGCAGAGCCTCCGGTTATAAACTTTAATCAACAGAGGGCGCTCGGAGCCCACCAAACACGCTTTGGGCCCCCAGCTACTTAGAAATGCAAATCAGAGCAGCTCTGGGCTCCCCCGTCTCCGAGGTGGATCGCGCAGCTCCCCAACACTCCCCCTCGACACCCCACCTTCCCCACCCGCGGCCTCGCCGGCTCGTTTCACCACACGCTGCTTTTTGGCTGATAAGCGGCTCGTGGCCAATGGCGATGATGTGTTTCGCGGCACCTACGCGAAATACAGATGCGGGTGGGAGCTGGCGCGTGCTGCCTGGAGGTGTACCTGCCCCCTAAGGTCCCCTATTGATAGGATCGCTTTTAAATTGGAAGTGGGAACGTAACGGAAACGTCCACTCTGTTCTTGCCATCTTCCTTTTGACCTTTTTACCTCGCTTTGGTGGCTGTGAAATATTCCCGCGCAGGAGCTGGAGCGGGGAGGAGTGGGGCAGAGCACGGGAGGCACAGAAGAAATTGTCCCCGAGGAAGGCAGAGTGGGGGCGTGGCCCCAGGCTTCCAGAACCCCGAACCTTTGTCTTCTTGCCCCCTCCTGCGTCGTCCACAGCTCAGAAGGAAGTCAGCGACCAGAAAGCCCTGAACGTCCTTCGCGCCCTCGCCCACCCCCGGGCTGGGTCTCCCCGCGGGCGCGGAGATGCCGTTACACCCCACGTGATCCCTGCGCCCGGCCAGTCCTTCCAGAGGCGTCTCGCGGGGTGTTAATTAAAGGTCACAACAAAACAGACCTGCTGGCTCACCAGAAGAAATGTCCTCCCGTGAAATGAAAAATGACACCCCAGAGCAGCCACGTGTGGAGCCTGGCATACGCCGGCTTCCTGCGCTCCTGGGCGCTGCGCCGGGGGACTGGGGCGGGGGGCGATCGGAGAGGGAGCGATGACGGGGTGCTCCGGAGACCCCGCGGGGCCCAGGCGCAGGAAGAAACGGGCGGCGGGGGGCGAGGGGCCCGATCCCACGCAAGGAGAGGCCAAGGCCAGCTCGCGCCACACCCCCTCTCCAGGCCAGAGTCGTCCGCGTGCAGCGCGGCGAAGCCCTCAGTTTCCCCTGCCCGGCAGCGGCCCGCTGGGTCACCAGGCTCACCTGTCCCAGCCCCGGGCGGCTTAGTCCATCACAGACCGGGGCTCGGGCGGGCGGGGGACCAAGGGCCCTAGTCCTGCGGCTGCGGTCGGGGAGGGTGGCCCCCCGGCCGGCCCGGGGTCGGTAGGGCAATTCCAGAAAAGGTTTGCCCGGCAGCTCTCCGAGAACAAAGGGCGGGGGGAGGACCCGGCATGTTTGTGGACTTGTTTGTGACTCAATCCCTTTTGCACGGCGTTTCACAGACAGACCTGCAAGCCTTGTCAGGAAGAGAAAGAACTTGGGGGCGGGGGAGGCTGGGGCACCGCATTTCCGTCCAGCCACGCTCGCTCGCGCGGCCCCCGGGCTCCAGGCTCGCGCAGCGGCGTTTCATTAGAGCCCCGGGCCCGGGCCGCGCGCCAGGAACTTCCCCGCACGCGGCGAGATCGACGATCCCCCGCCCCCAGCCCCAGCCCGGCTCCAGGCCTCGCAATGTCAGGCACGAGCGCCGCCACATAAAATGGATCCCGGCCGGCGCGGCGAGGGCGGCAGGTTCCCGAGGCTCCTCCGCGCTGCGCCCGGGCGCACACGCGCGCTGTGACCGCCGACCGCTCCCGGGCCACGCGGAGCCGCCCCTCTCCCGGCCCTCGCGCAACTGTCAGGCGAAACGGGCCGGCGGATATTGGCTCGGCGACACGCCGAGGCTCCTCCCCGAGTCTGGATCTTTATATTTTGGGAGAATTTCTTTGAACTCAGTTACCAAGCTCGGTGAAGGAGACAAGTTCCCACAGCTGACTCGGCTCGGCTCTCCCACCTTCCCGGCAGCGGCCGCGAGCCCTGATTGTATCCCTCGCTTTCCTCGTGGGGGAGCACGGACTGACTTGGCTGAAGAAAATGCCAGTTCTGTGGATGTGGCCGTGACAAGAGGACGTGCGGCTGGAAGAGGCAGAAGGGGACGAGGAAAAGCATGCTTTGAAGAGAAGAATAAACCAGCGACCCCAACCCTTTCTGCAAATTGGTGCTATTACTTGTGGGATCCATTTGCTTTCATTCCCTCCCACCCCACCGCTGAAGAAACCTTGCCCTGAGGGCTGAGAGCCAGCCCCCTGCAGCCGGGGGACGCTTCTGGGTTGGAGGACCTTCTGGATGTAGCGTCGGTGGAACCTTTAGATACTCTCCTCTGGAAAAGCCACCATGAATTCGGTAGCTGGGAATAAAGAGAGGCTTGCGGTCTCCACCAGGGGCAAGAAATACGGGGTAAGTTGTGACGGTACGACGCGGAGACGCGTTACCAGACCCATCTCGGCGGAGGTCCCCCTTTCCCCGGGATCGTGCGGCCCCGGCCCCGAGCTCTCCCCCGCTGCAGAGGCGCCCCCGGGGCTGGCGGGGTTGTGAGTGCGCGGAGGCGGGTCGGCCGCGGGGACGCCCGCACGCTCGCCTCGCTCTCGGAATTTTTTCAGCCCTCTCGTTCCTTCCTTTCCACGCACCCGTAACTTTTGCCGCATTCCTGCACTTCTAGGCAGAGTGAAGCCGAAGGGGAGGGTTTCCCATGAATGCTGGGCAGTACCTCGGATCGTTTAGCTGGAGCCGTGAGAGCCTCTCGTTTACCTGCAGGATCCGGAGAGTTGGACCCCGTATGAATAAAAATCCTGAAATCACAGCCCTCCCCCTACCCCCCCCATAGGGTCTTCCAGGATTTTGTTCCCGGGATCTTGCTGGGATAGGTGCCGGCTTCAAAAGCGTGGGGCGCTGAACCTATGGATCCCCCCCGCCTTGCAGAAGCCGTGGAAACGGCCCCGAGCGAGTCCCCTTCCTGACCCCAGGAGGAGGCCACCGGGGACCAGCGCAGGGGTCACCTGGGCGGTGGGGACTCACTTAAGGACAATTAACGAGACAGACGGAGGGCAATTTGGCCGCAGGGCTTGGAGAGGTCCCCAACCGACTCCCGTGGGCGGTTCGAGCGGGTACTTGGTGGCGCACGTATGACCCAGCTCCTGGGCGCTGCAGCCCGCCGCCTTGCAGCCCCTGACACCGGCGTGTCTTCCCCGCAGGTGAATGAAGTCTGCTCGCCCACCAAGCCCGCAGCGCCCTTCTCCCCGGAAAGCTGGTACCGGAAAGCATACGAGGAGTCGCGCGCCGGCAGCCGGCCCACTCCTGAGGGCGCGGGCTCAGCGCTCGGCTCCTCGGGGACCCCGTCTCCCGGCTCGGGCACCTCGTCCCCGAGCTCGTTCACCGGCTCCCCGGGACCCGCCTCCCCCGGCATCGGCACTAGTTCGCCGGGCTCCTTGGGCGGCTCTCCGGGCTTCGGCACAGGCTCCCCGGGCTCCGGCAGCGGCGGCGGCTCCTCCCCCGGCTCGGACCGCGGCGTCTGGTGCGAGAACTGCAACGCCCGCCTGGTGGAGCTCAAGAGGCAGGCCCTGAGGTTGCTCCTCCCGGGGCCCTTCCCGGGCAAGGTGAGCGCCGCGCGGGGCTGGCTGGGGAGGCGCCGGGAGGGCGGGGCCGGGCCGCCACCCACAGCAGCTGCTCAGCCCGCCGCGACCTTGCGCGCCGGCTCCACGCGAGAGCCCCCGGCGGCGCTGGGGATGCTCCACACCTCACGGGGCTCTAGCACGCGGGGCGACCCATGCCCCTTCCTCAGCCAGGCCGCCCGGGGGGCAGGAGGACCGAGTCCCGAGCGCGAAGGGGCGCCCGTGGCCACAGGCCTCACGGCCCACGGGGGAGGCCCCCAGGTGGTCTCTCCTGCCGCCCCCTCCCAGCTCTCCCTGGCGGCTGCAGGCTGCGCTTTCGATGTTTCTCCCCACCCCCACCTGTGATCCTTTACAAAAATGTCAGCGGGAGCTGTAAAAGCAAGCTGATGCTCGGAGCTGGCATTTCCCACTGCCTGTTTGTGGTCCATCCTTTCCGCGGTTGCAGAAACAGAAACATACTCGAAAGCCAGCATTTTCCCCTTCTCAGTCTGTGTGTGTGTCTGAGGAAGATCCGGAGGCGGGTGGCTCTTCGGAGCAGTGCTCCCTCCTGGCCTGCTCCTGCGCCAAGCACACTGGTTCCTCCATAGCAACCCTGCCCGCAGTGTGTGACTGGCCCGAGCCCCCAGGGGATAGCAATGCGATTGTATTTGCACTGTTGGGTCCAAGTACTATCAAATGATCATATTTACTCGGCCACTTCAAAGAGTTTTTATCAGTGGTTAGAGAGCAATATCAAGGAAATAGAGTGGATTGCTGTAGAGGTTTTTGACACTGTTGGTTCAACGTCAATTTCTGGTTTATTATTTCCGTGACTTTAGAAATGAAATACTGTGATTTCGAGTAGGCGTTTAGGAATGACTGCGTCTGCTGGCCCAACCTGCGTATGCAGATACACACGTTGATGTTTTCATAGGCAAGGGTTAAATTCAACAAATGCCCACAGACGCTGTGAAACTTAAAATGGGGGAAATGACCACCAGGAGAATTGGTTTTATGAATGCAGAACTTATCTCAAGAATAATGAACTCGTGGATGGTTGTCAGTGTACCGTTTTTGTAGTTTGATACATCTGCCGTGACATCCCAAGGATACATCTCAAGGAATCAAAAAGCTTATTTCGCTCTTGCGTGCTAGACCTTCCGATTTAACACCGTTTCTTCATTCACAGATTTATTTGCTCTCGTGATCCTTCATCAATATTCATTGATTTTCTACTCCATCCGAGGCACTGTGTCAGGCACAGCAATGAAAATACCAGGTCCATTCATGCAGTCCTTGTCCACGTGGAGCTTAGATTCTAGTGGAGGATACAGATAACAACCACAAAATGCACAGTTCACAATGTCTTCACATTTGTGGAGGGAATGTAGGGTGCTGTGAGGTTGTTGAACTGGATGGGAGCATCTGATAAAGATGGAAGGACCTTGGTTCTTAAAGATCTAGTAGCTGATATTTGGCAGTCCTAATACGTTACAGCCTACCAAATTATTTTAGACCTTTCTTGAGGACCTATTCTTATAATAGGCTTATTGTGGCTTTGGGTGTTCCTATATGCAAAGGCCGATCAAAATACACTCTTCTCATTTAAAAAAAGAGGAGGGGAAGGAAAATCTACAGAGGAAACAAATGTTGAAACTCATACGCATCCATCATGTTTTATGGAGTCCTGTGACCAGCTGGAATCTTGTTTTTATAGAAACAGCCTGGAACATTCACTTACAGTGTCACGGGAGGCAGCTCAATATATTTGCCAATTTTATGTATGTGATAAGGTAAAACTCTTGTTGGTAAACTGATTGTATTGTCAGAGTGAGGTGATGGCCCCAGAAGAAACACTGGATTTGCTGAACCCCCATGCTCTACAATGACTTCGAGTGATCCAAGGACATCTAGAGAAGACCTGGCAGTCATGGGGGCAGTCACAGGGGATCACTTTAAGTGCATACGTGAATGTCACATAGTACCACAGTCGCCTGAGTTTTATATGTGAAGCAGCACAGTAAAGCGTGACATTTGGTGCAAGGGCATAGACAGGGCTCAGCCAGGAAGAAGGATGCTTTGCATCAGCTCATTGTTAGTAATGAGATGTGGGGCCTCAATTTTAACTACAAAATTTCTGCAAGCCTTTGTGAATAATAATTGTGTGTGTGTGTGTGTGTGTGTGTGTGTGTGGTGTGTGTTTTAAGCATTTGTACCTTGCATTTAGGTACAATTTCCATTATACCTTTAGCATTTGCAACCTTATAGCCAAACAGTTGCCATGTTCTCTGGTGTACCATGGATGGAGGCCATGTAACTTGGATAAGACTTTTCTTCTTCCCGGAGCAATATTAATGAACAAACTGTGGACCACTGTAGCCCTCAGGCACAGAAGGAGTTAAGTTTCATTAGAACAAGAGGTGTCACTGTGACTCCAACATGCAGTTCGCTCAGTTCGCTCTGAAGAGTAAGAGTCTGGAAGATAAAGACATGTTTTTGAGGAGTAATTAACAAAAATCATCTGTGTAATTTGCTTAAGATGCTTACCTGCATTTGGGAAATATTTTCTTAAATAGAGTGTTAAATTCTACTAGGTGGTATTAAATGTCTCCTAGGTAGATATTTAAAAGTCAAAAGCAGAATAGCACATCCAGGAACCTTAATATTTTAGGATGGATTTGGTTTTGGTTCTTCTTCACCACTGATTTACTTTGTGACATTGGGTAAATTAGTTTTCCTCTCTACTTTTTAACTTTCCTATTAATATCCTAAGGAAAAAAATGAATGAGACTATTAAAACGTCATTAAAATGATCCAAGGTAAGGTCTGAAAAGTGCTTTCATTCTTTAGAGAAAGATATGAGGGTTGATGATTATTAATGAGCTAAGATTCTGTTAGATTTATGTTTTACAGAATTTAAGGTTTTTCTTATAAGATATTACTCCTGTCAGTTTCTAATTTCATCTGTATATTTTCTAAACATGCTGCCATATGAGTTCTCACACTGTGCCTGTTGGTAGGTAGCAAGCCCTATTGAATCCCCCGTTCTGTCTTTGGAACAGTTGGTTAAGGAGGGGAGGTGAAGTAGTAGAGAGCCCATTCCGGGTATCTGGTTGGTTCCAGGAGCTAGTGCCTGGCTCTGGTGGCCTGAGAAGAACCATCTTATTCTGAGCACTCCAATGGAGGATAGGGCTTCATGGTAGAAAATGACATTATTTGAACGTAACGGAGTGGGTGATAGTGTTGGCTGAGGTAGGAAATAGGAGGAGACATGGAATTGGATGGAGCTCAGAGGGAAGGATGATCATGAGTTTGGTTTTCCATGCAGCGAGTCTGAGCTTTCTGGAAAGAGATGGAGGCAGATTTAATAATAAAACACTTTGTTTTTGGCTATCTCAAGACTGGCGTGTAGAAGTGACAGCTGTGAGCTCACATAGCTCTGCTGTTGATACTCTGTATTCATCCTTTCCGATAGCAACTTACCTGGTGAGTAGACGTTTGTGCTTGGTGGCAGATTGTAAAACACTCAGATTGACTTTTATTACCTTGATCAGTACAAAAAGTACTTACTGGGTTTATATCGTTTCTCTTTTGGTGCCGGTGAGTGGAAGTGGTCGGATAAAAGAATGTGGACGTGTAAAGTGTTGAGATTTTAAGTGAGAATGGCCCTTTTACCCACTGTAGCCTTCCAGTGTGTGAATACAAAACCATTTCATGTCCAATGGCAAGAGCATCTTTCCTGCTTTGTACACAGTCAGGGCACTGAGCCAGAAATAGGGGCCAAGGAACGAATTGCTCAATTTTGGGCTAGCCTAGATCATTCTGATATCTGTGACAGAACTTTTGAATGGACTGGGCAAGTCCTACGAAACAACAGCCCAACGAAATTCCCTGGAGTAAGCAGTAAAGCTCCAGGTTGGCAAAAGGTTATCAGACATCTGTTCATTTCCATATCAATAAAAGAAAATCTTTTATGTAAAAAAAAAAAAGTGCAGAACTATGTTCCTATCTGATTGTCTCTCAGTCAGATATTCTGAGTCCATTTATGCCCCAGAAATATCAGGAAGATTAGCCAGACATACTGAGAAGGGTGGCCAGGAATCACAGAGATGAAAGAAAGGAATGCGTCATAGGGGTTAAAAACGCCAAACGTGGACTCTAAATAGCCGGAGACCAAGTAAGTCTAGACTTGAGGAGATATAGATATCCCCACATGCATATTTCTGTATTTTGCCAGCTCCAAAAGAGGGGTATGGAAAAATAACTAGACGCAAAAAGTCCCCCAAAAGCCATCATAAAACATTTTATAGATAGGATAAAACAGACATTGCATTTCGAGTACTTATTAATTATAAGGGACTTCTAGCTGAAATCTTCTCTTTCTTCTAAGAACATGTGGCTATTTTCAAAAAGCTTCATTTGAGTCTTTCTCATATCAGAAGTATTTTAGATAAAGGAGCAGTTAGTAGATAATAGCAGTCATGAAAAAGTCCTACAGCATTTATCATTTGAAAATTTCTGAAACATTTTGGGAGTTTATAAAAACATTCCCAGGAGAGACATGTGAGCAGTAATCTCTTTTTAAGGCTTAGCAAGCTGTGGAATAATGGCAGTTCATTCTACCAGACTATTAATTGTGAAGCAACATGGTCAGTTTTTATAGTGACTTAATTCACTTTGCAAAAATCCCTGGCCTGCAATAATTCCTTCCACACCCATTGCAGATAGGATTACTACATTAGAAATGTGATTTTTAAATGGCTGAGGCTGGTAGTTTGTCAGCATTTGGAAGGATTAAGTCAATTAAAATGGAGGCAACATCAGTTGCCATTTGTTATTTGGCATTATATCACAGATTGTACCATGAGTGGGCCAACAATAGCGATGATAGTAATAATAATAATATGTAATAAATGGCTAACAACGATTGTCCTACATACCACGAACTACACTGAAACACACACACACATAATCTCATATATTAAAATGAAGATGAACGTGATTTTTTCTTTTTTACCCTGGAATTCCAAGTGCTTGATGTGGTTAAGATCATAGAAGGAAGCATGAAGAAAAAATATGCAAGGAACAGAGAAATCCAATCACACTTTCCCCTAGAAGCTGTTAAGGGTCCCTGTGAGTAGAACTGACTGAGTGAGAGGCACCGGCTCGAGATGGTTATTATTTTTCCTGGGCTCACAGATGAGAATTTTACTTCCAGTGAGTGGGGAGGTTGGGGGAAAGTATGTGAGACTGTCAGGTTCTGAGTTGAGGAATTGTCTTGGCTGGAATGCAAGGGGCGGGGGGAAGGAACCTCCTTATATTTACGTGCACCCATTGGAGACCCTGTTGTCATCCCTTCCTGAACAGAAAACCCTGCCCGAGGGCCCCGTCCTGACCTTCTGCGAGGAAGAGTTCTTCAGCCGGCCATTTCAGTGCCCCATCGGCAGGGCGGCCAGACCTCTGCTCTGTTTTGTCCTCAAAAAGATTGCAAATTGGCTGGTGTCTGGGAGGGTTCTTGGTCATTTTGCAGGAATACAAGACAAATTTCCTTTTTACCACTCTCTGCAGTCACAAGCTATTCATCAGCATCCTTTCTTTCCTGTTTCTCGTCTATGGTGTTATTGTGGCGAAGGAGCACTGTTGAGAATGTGCTCCCAATCGCTCTTTTATACCTATAGATGCACCCATCAGAAATATCTTTTTTTTTTTTTTTTTTTTTTTTTTTTGAGACGGAGTCTCGCTCTGTTGCCCAGGCTGGAGTACAGTGGCGTGATCTCGGCTCACTGCAACCTCTGCCTCCTGGATTCAAGCAATTCTCCTGCCTCAGCCTCCCGAGTAGCTGGGACTACAGGCGCCCGCCACCACGCCCAGCTAATTTTTGTATTTTTAGTAGAGATGGGGTTTCACCATATTGGTCAGGCTAGTCTCTATCTCTTGACCTTGTGATCCACCCGCCTTGGCCTCCCAAAGTGCTGGGATTACAGGCAGAAATATCTTATTTTAAAGTACATTCGTGTAGATGCAAAAGGACTGGGGATACACCTGTATTCCTAATGTACTTTTGAAATATTTGTCAAGATATCAACTCAGTTTGTATCCATCATTGGCTTACCATTGCCTTTGGAACTGCTCCAGAGCCTATCTGAGAAAATTGGAAATGAGTGATTGTTAAAAAGATGTTTGTCCACCTCCAGGTCTCAAAGAACTCACCTATGTTTTCTTCTAGTATTTAAATAGTGTCCTTTTTAATATTTAGATCTCTAATCCATTGAGAGATTATTTTGGTGCAAAATGAAAGATATAGATCAAATTTCATCTTTCTCTAAATGTCTATCCAGTTGTCCCCACTTTATTAAAACATTCTTCTTACTTGCAGACTTCTTCTTGTGAAAAAAAGAATTTATCTTTCTCACATTAATTGAAGATACCACCATTGTCATAAATCAAATTTTCAGTTGTATCTGGACCTATTACAGGATCTTCTAGAATGTTCTCACTCTGTTGTCCAGGCTGGGTTACAGTGGCACAATCTCGGCTCACTGCAACCTCCGCCTCCCAAGTTCAAGCAGTTCTCCCGCCTCAGTCTCACAAGTAGCTGGAAATACAGGCACGGACCACCATGCCCAGCTAATTTTTGTATTTTCAGTAGAAATGGGGTTTCACCATGTTGTCCAGGCTGGTCTTGAACTCCTGACCTCAAGTGATCTGCCTGCCTTGGCCTCCCAAAGTGCTGGGATTCCAGGTGTGAGCCACTGCGCTTGGCCCACACTATTTTAATTATGGAAGCTCTGTAGCATGTTTTCATGTTTGGCAGGGCTAGCTCTCTCTCCCTCAAATAGTGCCTTTCTTTTCTAGGAGTTTCCTTGCCTAACTCCAATTTTTTTTTTTGTTAGGACCGTGTTGAATGTATACATTAACCTGGGGGAATAGTTGGCATCTTTATGGTGTTGAATCTTTCCCAAGAACATGGAATACCTTTTCATTTGAACAAGTCTACTTTTTAGCAATTTTTAAGAGTTTCTTCATATAGGCTTTGCACATTTCTTGTTAAACTTTTTCTTAGGTATTATAGCTTTTGTTGCTATTGTAAATGGAGTCTTCACTTTCATTATCTCTTTTAATTGATAATTATTTATGTGAAGGATATTGATCTACATGTTTTATATCCCGTCGCCTTATTAAATTCTACTATATTCACTGATTTTTAAAAAATTGGTACTCTTGGATTTTCAAAAAATTTTGTCTTCTTCAAATACAGATATCATTACTCTCTTCCTTTGCTATTTTTATGCCTCTAAGTGTTTTCTCTTTTTTGTTACATTGGCTGGTACTCCTGACACAATGTTACATAATAGCGATATAGTGGGCATGTGTATATATTTTTTTCTATTAAGATGTTGGCTTTTGGACTGAGATCTGTCTATATTTTTTAAAGTTAAGTAAATATCCATCAATTCCTACTTTAGTGTTTTATTAGGAATGGGTATTATATTTTGCCAAATGTCTTTTCAGTATTTAGAGAGAGAATCATGCAATTTTTCTCCTTAGATTTGTTAATATTGTGAGTTATTATTATTGATTTTCTAATAGTGAACCATCCTTGTATTCCCATAATAAACCCCACTTGGCCACAGTGCATTTTGAAAGATATGCTTCTGGATCCAATTTGCTAATATTTCATTTATTGTTTTTGCTTTGATATTCATATGCCAATGAACATTTTTGATTCCTGTTTATGTGCCAGTTCTAGTACTATGCCACATTATAATCCAAATAGGAAAAATACTAAAATTCCTGCCCTGGAGCAACTCACAGTCTAGTGTCAGAGACAGGCAAGGAACGTGGCGAAGCGTAAGCGTTCCAGCCACAGGAAACGGCAGGCATAGGCCAGGAAGGGGTGATGCGTGCCCCCTACATATGGGGAACTGAAGTCGCACATGGTCACCATACACAGTATTTGTATGAGTGCGTGACAGGCTGGAAAGGAGGCAGATGGAGGATGAAAGGCCTTGTAGGCTATAGGCTGGACTTTATCCTGTAGGACGTGGGCAGCCATTGGAGGGCACTCATGAAGGGAGTGAAATGATCAGATATGCATTTAAGAAAGATTGCTGGCCAGGCACGGTGGCTCACGCCTGTAATCCCAGAACTTTGGGAGGCCAAGACGGGTGGATCACCTGAGGTCAGGAGTTCGAGACCAGCCTGGCCAACATGGTGAAACCCCGTCTCTACTAAAAATACAAAAATTAGCCGGGCGTGGTGGCCCACACCTGTAATCTCAGCTACTCGGGGCTGAGGCAGGAGAATCGCTTGAGCCCGGGAGGCGGAGGTTGTAGTGAGCCAAGATGATGCCACTGCACTCCAGCGTGGGTGACGGTGCGAGACTCCATCTTTAAAAAAAAAATAAAGATTGCTGTGAGAATGAGCAAGAAGATGGGTTGGAAGAGTGGTGTCACCGAGACCAGTTGGGAGGCCCCTTGCAGTGGCTTGAGTGAAGAATGACACAGACTGAACTAGGGTAGTACAGAGGGAAGGGAGAGGCAGCTCCGGCCTGACACATATCATATGTAGAAAACCCGCCATGGGGAGCTGCTGAGATACGGGGCCAGAGGGAGAAAAGATGATGCATTCTCCCAGGTTTCTGGCCAGGGAAAGTGTGTGGGTGGTGCTGCCAGTTATGGAGATGAAGAATACAGGCAGAGAAGGGGTTTTGTTATTGTGAGCCCAGTGTTCGAGGATGGCTGTGGATGTTAAATTGATTGGGGTCTCTAGAGCTTGAGGTGGAATGGTCCAATGGGCTCCTGTTGGCGCTCTAGAGCGGCTTCTGAGGTGGAGATATGGATCTGGGGGATGTCAGCGTAGAGAAGGTGATGGAATCCACAGACGGCATGAGCTCTCCACAGATGTGTGGGGTGAGACGACAGACAGCTGAACATGAAGTGGTGGAGACCATTGACATCGAAGGGACCAGTGGCCTGAGGAGCTAAGAAGACAGACCAAGAAGGAGGGACCAGAAAAGAGGGATGAAAAACCAGGAGAAGACAGTGTCATGGGAACTGAGGAAGGAGTGAGCTTCAGGGCATAGGGGTGACAAAAGGTCTGATGCCCTGGAGAGGTCAAGGAAGTAAGGACTGAGGTTTTCTTTGAACTGGCAAGGAGGAGGTCATTGGATGTCTTTGTTGGAAGAATTTCTGGTGCCCTGGAGAAAGCCAATGGCATTGTGTCCAGGAATAGATTGAGAGGTGAGGACATCTCAGGCAGCATTTGAGTTGCTGAGGACACTGAGATACAAGAGATCCACTTCTTGAGGCTCTTATTATCTTAAAATGAAGAACTACAATCAACAGACTTGCGTGCAAAACCAGGCTCCGTCACTTAGGGTGTGACCTTGGGCAAGCCTTGGTCTTTCTAAACGTGGTTATTCTCATCTCTACAGTGGGAGTCATGACAGAGCCCCACCAGGAGGATCGTGAGGATTAGGTGAAATTGTGAGATGCTAGTCAACCATCGCTTTCTGTTATTATTCCAGTGACTTTCCACAGGAAGTTGAATTTTATATAAGATTCCTACCCTCCTTCCTTCCCTCCTTCCTTCCCTCTTTCCTTCCTTTTTTCCTTCCTTCCTTCCATCTGACACGAAAATGGAGAAACAGCAGTCAGAGAAAATGAAAGCATTCAGTGCGTCTTTGTTTCTTCACCTCCAAGTGGATAAAGCATCTCATTCTTATTTATTCATTTGTAGAGTTGTCACCACAGAAAGTTTAAGGGAGCTCAGTGGATGTAAATAGCGACTCCTTTGGGTTGAGGTGCCATGAATATGGATTGAGAGTTTTTTGTCACAGATGGAAATCCCTTCTTTAAGCCCGGCCCCTCTCGTAGCCCCTCCAGGGAGACTTGCAGATGTGGCATTTGGCATTTCGGCTCCGGGGAATGAGGGAGAGCAGATTTCCTCCAGTGACTGCGCATGCGATGTGCAGATCTGAGCCGCACCAGGAATTTGGGCTTATCTGCCTTCCAATCCAGCTTTATCTGTCTCAGACGGTTTTCTTTGCAGTTGTACTTTGCTGATCCTATCACATCGATTCCAACCAGACCCCATGGGAAGTCTGGGAATAAAGAAGTCACCCTCCCCCACCAAGCAGGATATCCTGCACATACATCAGCTCTCAGGGCTGGAGGTGACCGTGGAGGAGAGGGATCCTGTGAGCTCTAATACAAAAAACCGAGACATTCTGAACGTTGCTATAGAGGTTAGCAAAGCAGAAGGCTCTGAGGGTAGAGTAAGTATTATTAATTTTTTAAATATGCAGAACGATAAATATGTCTTAAGTGTTATAGACCAGGTTACAGCTGAGGGACTATTTTGATTTTCCTTTTCTACTTATTGGAGTTTACGTTCAATACTGTTGCCAACCACAAAAAGTTATTGGAACAAATTTTAGCTCTCCACACAGCATGGTTCTAAAATCTTTGATGGTTCTTACGTGTAAACTTTCTTTTTATATAATTGTTTTTTTTTTTGCTTGAAAGCATGAGCTGCAAATAATAAATTAAAATCCGCTTTTCTATCACAGGGGTGACAAATAGAAACTTTTATTTTGATATGTCCTTATCTAAGTGATGTCTGAGGTCTGTATATGCTAATTCAGGATTTTTTTTCTGAGCTAACCTAGGAACCGATAGAACTTGAGATTTTTCTGCAGTGTAATTTTGTCTTTGAGTTGGCAGTGATGAGCAGCTACACTTCCCCATGAAACTCTATCATCGTATTTAGAGTGGTTGCTTTCTTTGGGGTTATAATCACTACTTCCCAACCCTTCCTCCACCTAACTGGTGGCTTCACACAAGAATGGGAGACTCACCTATTAACTGATTAGAAGCCAGCAATAACAACCAGCACCAAAAGCTGTCGAGCTATCTAACCAAATGGTTGTACAGAAAATAAACAGCTGAATTCAGGCAAACAACTGGAAGCAGCCACCATTGTTTAAAAAAAAAAATCACCTGCCCAGTTCAGTTGTGTAACTTTGCACAGCAGGGAGTCTCAGTCCTAAGCAGGTGGCAGAGTGTCTTCCCCATGGTACCATGGCTGGGAATTAGAGCATCAGGTGTCCTTTACCAAGACAGGCAGCGTGGTGATGGGGGCTGAGGGATAGATGGGAGGAGGATAGAAAGGAGAGGAATAAGAGGGGAGGAGGAGGAGGACGGATGAGAGAGAGGGCGAGGAAACAAAGAAATGGGTGGTATACGCATCCAAGGTTGTCTACAATCCCAGATATTTAGGTGAAAAAGGACTGTCCTTGGATCTGGGGACAGAGGTGCAGTCCTGCTTCCAGCACTGATAAGCATTATGATCTTGGGAGAATCACCTAGCTGGCCTGTGCTTGATTTTTCTTTTGTAATCTAAGAGCATGGTAGTCGGTGGGCTCTAAGCTTCTCCCAAGCCTGTGAGTCTCTGTGAAGCTGAGGCTTTGGGAGTCCACTCCGTGAACCCAGATTCCACAGGGATGTGCCTGGCAAAATCCAAGTGGGTTTCTGGCTGAAGCTGTTCTGTGGGCTGCCATGTTTGTGGGACATCTCATCTGCAGCCGCCGCAGCGACCTCCTTGTCCGTCCAGCCAAGGGGAGGGACCGGAAGCCAAGCGGAGGGGCCGGTAGCGCCGTCGTTGCTGATGCTTCTGCTTTTGGAATTCGGATCATAAACTGACAGGGTTCTTCCTGTTTCTTAATAAAGCTATTTGTTTTACTGTCTAATGTGTTTCTAAGCAGAAATAGACAAACAAAAGGACAATTGATTCTAGAAGAGAGATTTAGTATGGAGTATTTGAAGAAAAGTATTGCCTTAGAAATAAGGATGTTTTGTAGTTAATTTTACATTAAAAGTTCTGCCATATTGATTAGGATTTAGAAATAACATACGAAGAGTTCTTCCTGAGTAGCAGTATAGGAACACCAGAACTCTATAAACATTTTATTCATCATTCTTCATCTGATTTTTTTCCAAAATCTTTTTGCTCCCTTTGATTTCTCTCTTTTTTTCTGCTCTTTCAAATGCCTAGACAGAGCCATATTGATTAGGCCAGTATTTACATATCACATGCCCCTGACGTGGGTTTAATGCCCCGTAGTGTTTGATGCTGTGGTCTGGGAAAGAATGGAACAGGTAGCTGCCCGCTGAGTCAACGAGGCCCATGCAGTTATCATCGATTTTTATTTTTCTCTTTAATCATTTAGCCAAGGTTGCCTCTTTAAAATATCTACTTCCTGGGGGATGTTTCCCTGACTCTTATTTCAAATCTAATACTTTGTATTTGAGTCTAAACACAATTCAGGGAATATAGCTATTAAAAGCAGAACTTGATTTTGTTTAACTAGTCCAGAGCGCGTGATGGCTTTGGAGCAGAGTGGAGAACAGGCACAGAGGAGCACGAGCCCCAGGAACACCACTTGGTGCCCCTCCCTCGTCCTTCCACCGAGCTCTCTGCACGTATCTTACCAGGGCGTGAATGGAGCATTCTGCAGCCAGACACATCCAACCCACAGCAAACCCTCCATGCAAGCTTGCCTGTGTCCTCAGACATTCTACCCTTTATTTCTCCTCTTGTTCTTTGCCCCTAAGTTTGTCCATGCACTCGACTTTCTAACGGGCCATGGTGTGTGTGTGTGTGTGTGTGTGTGTGTGTGTGTGCGCGCAAGCACTTTGTGGAGGCCCTGAAGGCAGCATGTAAGGTGGTAACACGGTAGACATTCTGCCCCAGGTTTCAGACATTGTTAGGCTGAAGCTTTTATTGGAGGTCAAGGCAGCTAATAAAGTGGGCCGTGCAATTACAAGAGCATTCAGCAGAGAAGGATGGCTGACCCTCTCGGCAGGCTGAGAGCAGAGGAAGCGGTTGGCAGCTCCTAGTCCTCCCATGATGGCTTTACAAGCATTTTTTGCAGCCGGGGTGGTAAATGCGATACAAAGGCATGGTTTCAATATATCCAATGAGGCACTCTGCTTCCTGTGTGAGGCATCCACTTGGGGGAAGGAAGTTGCCCGGCTGTGGGCTTTTTGTGGTGGTGGTTTCTGCTAATTTACCTTTTTTATAGAGGGCTCATAATTATTAGGGATCCTCCATAATGCCCCTTTATGGTGGTCAGGAAGGAGATAACAAAATGATGCAGAGGTTTAGGAGGCTTCTCCAGGGTCACCCAGAAAACCTCTGGATTCTGAATCTCCTTCAAAGATTTAAGAGGATTTATTTATGCTGCTCTCTTGCCCATGTGGATCTCCTTGACACTACACTCCGTGAGCGTAGTTAATGTCCTGTCTTGTTCACTTTGTTTTTTGTTTGGTGCCTGTGTACCAAGTAGATTTCTGGTGTTTTGAAAAAAAAAATCACCCGTCCACTGCTGCATAACCAAAACGTCACTGGTGTGAAGGAAGAGGATGATAGAGGATGGGACGGTGGTGACAAATGGCGGGATGGGAGATGATGCCTGGGTGAGTCCTGGAAAGTGCCGTGATGCCATCCCACTGACATGGCCTCCTGTATTCCAGCAAAGAGTGAAATTCACAGGGAGCACAGAGTAAGAGCAGCGCCTTCACCTCGGTGGAGCTTAGTCTAGGCATTTATGGGTCGGCTGGTTTGAGGGTCCTTGCATTTCTTGTCAGTCAATACGTCCTTGTTTTGGCTAAGTCTCATGCCCTCATATCCACTTCTACCCTTGCAGAATAAAGACATGTGGGAATGCTCACTGGATGCTTACAATTGGTTCCAGGTGTTCCAGGGACGAAACTTATCAGAACCAAACATAGAGGGCAAATGTCTTAGCCAATTCATGCTGCTATAACAAAATACCACGAACTGGGTGGCTTATAAACAACAGAAATACTGATTTCTCACGGTTCTGGAGGCTGGGAATTCTGAGATCAAGGCCCCATCAGATTGAGTGTCTTGTGAGGTCTGCTTTTTGATTCATAGATGGCACTGTCTTGCTGTGTCCTCACGTAGTGGAAGGGACTGGCTAGCTCTCCAGGGTCTGTTTTGTAAGGGCAGGAATCCCAATTATGAGAGCTCTGCCTTCATGACCCAGTTTGCTCCCAAAGGCCCACCTCCTACTACCATCACTTTGGGGGTTAGGTTTCAACATGATTTTGGGGAGAACATAAGCGTTCAGTCTGTTGCAGCAAGCATGAGGTCACTTGTCTAGACACTGACCCCTCAGGCAGTGTTCATGTTTGGTTTAATTTTTCCCTTTATCTGGTAATTGATTCTGCACTGTCTCCATTATTTGGTGAGATGGTAACATGTGATTACATCCCAATGGAGTTGGGCATGAGAATAAGAAAGAAATCTCCCTTTAAAGGCTTTGGACTACCTTGGAGTTTGAAGAGAGTGGAGGAATGCAGTGAGCTGGTTTTGATCTTTTGGTGAAAGTGACAAGGAGGCAGGATGGTTTTTCCACGGACATTGACAGGGTCGTGCTGGTTCTCCCAAAGAGAAATAGAGTAGAGTTCATCACATTAGTTAAGAGCACCTCTTCAGCACATTATATCTCTTCAGCACATCGTTTAAGAGCATCGTCTTTAATAATTCTTACATGGGGCCCGCACGGTGGCTCACGCCTGTAATCCCAGCACTTTGGGAGGCCAAGGCGGGCGGATCACGATGTCGGGAGTTCGAAACCAGCCTGACCAACATGGTGAAACCCCGTCTCTACTAAAAATACAAAAAAGTTAGCTGGGTGTGGTGGCACATGCCTGTAATCCCAGCTACTCCGGAAGCTAAGGCAGAAGAATTGCTTGAACCCGGGAGGTGGAGGTTGCAGTGAGCTGAGATCGCGCCATTGCACTCCAGCCTAGGCGACAGAGTGAGACTCCATCTCAAAAAAAAAATTCTTACATGGGACAAAAATCACTATCCTATGTCAATTGAAATAAAGGCCATTAGTTTTTAACACTGTATAAATTGCCTTTTCTCCTGGGAACTTCAGCATATTCTTTTAAATTATTAGCATTTTATAATCATAGAACGATGGCATAGAGGGAACCTACAGGGTGTCCAGCATTGCATTACAGTTCCCTGATGAAGAGCATGGTTCTTGGGGTCTGGCCATCCCATCAGGATTTGTATATTTTGCTCTGCCGCATACCAGCTCTGGGAACCTAGAGAAGGCCTTAACCATTTTCCGTGTTGGTTTCCTCGCTTGCACGATGGTGTTAATCATAATAACTGCTTCACAGGCGTGTTTTGTCTGCTGCATGGTAGTCATTCATTAAATGTGAGTATCCAAGCTCCCATCCCAAACTGCCAGAAGGGAAAAGTAAAACTTACACTTTTAGACAGCGACCTCCTGACTCCAGGGTTCATTCCATCTCATTAACAGTCAGTTCATTCATTTTTCATTTCCTTATCCATCCACCTGTTTGTTTATCCACTCATCTACCTGTCCAGCATTTCTTTGGCCTTCACCGTACATTCGTGTGTCTAGACTTGGTGGTGGGGATGTAAAGATGACTAAGACGCAGCCCTTGCCCTCAAGTCCCTCCCAGTCTGGTGGGGGGGGTGGGTACAGAAGCCACGTGGTAAGTGCAGAGTTAGGACACTTGGGGAGCAGCCAGCATGGCTCCGGGCTGCTGGAACATTGCATCTTTCTTTTCTTACAGGCCCCGCCTAAGAAGTGTCATGGCTGGGAGGGAGTCGGAAGGGGTAGCTTCCTAGAAGGGGTGATGATGGAGAGGAGTTAGTGAGAGAAGACTGAGGAAGGTGAGGAATCTCATAGCTAGAGACCAGAAACGGCCTTGAGGGGCTGCAGGAACCCAAAGAAATGCAGCATTGACAGACAGGAGGTGTCCAAAGTGGGTGGCCCAGCTGGGCATGGTGGCTCACACCTGTAATGCCAGCAATTTAGGAGGCCGAGGCGGGCAGATCACCTGAGGTCAGGAGTTCAAGACCAGCCTGGCCAACATGGTGAAACCCCATCTCTACTAAAAATACAAAAATTAGCCAGATGTGGTTGTATGCGCCTGTAATTCCAGCTACTTGGGAGGCTGAGGCAGGAGAATTGCTTGAACCCAGGAGGCGGAGGTTGCAGGGAGCCGATATTGCATCACTGCGCTCCAGCCTGGGTGACAGAGCGAGACTCCATCTCAAAAAACAAAAACAAAAACAAAACAAAGAGGGTGGCCCACCACATCAATTTCACAAGAAGTGAAATAACAATGTAAGATTTATATGTCAGTTTTAACAAGTGATGATACCGTGTAATACATCAGTATAGCAGTACGATAGCCATGTTCATAGCAGCCTTATTCACAATAGCTAAAATGTAGAAGCTACCCAAGTGTCTGCTGACACATGAATGACTAAGCAAAATGTGGTATATCCATGCAATGGAATAGTATCCAGCCCTAAAAAAAGGAGATTCAGGCACAGGCTATGACCTGGATGAACCCTGAGGACATTATGCCAAGTGAAATAAGCCAGTCACAAAGACAAATATTATATGATTCTGGTGATATGAGATACTTAGTGTAGTGAGATTCATAGACATAGAAAGTAGGATGGTGGTTACCAAGAATTGGGGAAGATGAAAAGAATTCTGCATATGGAAGGTGGTGGTGGTTGCACAATGGTGGGGGCGTACATAATGTCACTGAGCTGCACGCTGAAAAATTATTATGAGAGGTCAATGTTATGTTGTTTTACTGGGCGCACACACACGGAAAGTAGTATAAGTTGTGTCACAAAATTGTATTTGACGGAAGTGATATCCCTGTGCACTGGTCGCCCAGTGACGGCTCATGAGGGTAATCATGGTAATACGTACAATCTGGCCACCAGAGACTCCCAAGCACGTTACAAGCAGTCTCACGTTTGATCCACCCTATGAGACAGGCCACTTTACGGGTAAAGAAGCTCAGTGAGGTTAGATGCCTGGAGACGCGGGCCGGGGAGGCTGTGGTCCTGCACTCACTGCACAGCCCTTCCTGCTCCCCGGCCTCCCTGTGAGGCTCACTGCAGTCCCTTGGAGGGAAAGGGGATGCTATTGAGAATTGGGGCCAGGTGAATGGCTATAGAGGGATGCAGGAGTCCCCCCCACCTTTTTCTCTCCTTTCTCTTACTTCCACGGACCTTCTGAGAATAGGGCTGGCCCTGGCAGCCAAGAGCCCCTTAGCTCCTCCCTCTGCATTTGCCGTGGTACGACGTGTGACACGGGCCAGACCCACGCTGCTCTGTTCTGCAGGACTCAGTGCAAGACAGCTCTTTTATTTGTGCCTGTGGTCGTTAGAAAAGTTTTACACGGGCAGGGCAGTCGTCATCACTAAGTAAACACATTGAGCCGGCAAATCAGTCTTTGTGAGAGCAGCACATTAAATGGTTCCCTGCATAGTAGTTACTGATACATTACTATAATTACATCGCACATTTTGCAGTAAACTCCAAAAAAATGATTTATTATCTCTTGGGTGCTTGACAGCAATATGCTCAATGGCAGCATAACTTTTCCAAATCTGCCCACACATTTTATGTGTATGACTCTTTTGGAATTAGACCAAATGGACCCTTTTAAAGATCTGCTGAGTTAACACCACCTTATATTTATATGGCTGCGTTCTTCAGGCCACACTGTACTGGGTCATTGCCACTATTTTCCCACCTTTCTCTTTACACCCCTTTAAGGAGTATCATGGCCAGATGTGGCGTGGTGTCTCTTAAATTCACTTAATAGACAAAAGAGAAGGACATCTCTAACAGTAATACAAGAAAAAAAAAGAGAGAGAAGGACAGAGAGACCAAGAAACTCTTTTTTTACTCCTATTCAGCAACTATGTATGTACTTATTTATTTATTTATTTATTTACTGAGACAGAACCTTGCTCTGTCATCCGGGCTGGAGTGCAGTGGTGCAATCATAGCTCGCTGTAACCTCAAACTCCTGGGCTCAAACGATCCTCTCGCCACAGCCTCCCAAGTAGCTGGGACTGCAGGCATGTGCCACCACACCTGGCCCCTCAGCAACTATTTTTACAGTATCGACTCTGTGTCAGGCGCTGTTCTAGGCTCTGGACGCTTGATGAGTGTCACCAGTGAGCTTAGGACAGAGCTGACGTCTTCTGCCTATTCTTTGGCTTTACTCCCCATAGGGCTTTTCTGGAGAAGGGCCCTTTGGAGCTTGTGGGATTTCAGGGTTTATTGAAATTTATTTACCTTTTTGCAGGTGTCTCATGCTTCCTCGGTTAAGGAATGGGAATTATCATAATGTATACCATGGTGTCTGGCCACAGATGAAGTACCACAGTCATCAGATTATGAAGCCTCCAAGCTTCTCTTGCAGAGGACTCCTTCAAACCACTCTCGTGGACTGTGGCTAACTGGGAGTTTCTCCTGGGGGCCCATTGCTCATTCCTTGCTGTCTCTCCCGGTTGAGACTTCCCACCAGGGTGAAAAGCTAGAACAGTGGCTTTTGTCTTTAGCAAGGCCATTAGATGGTACAGTAACTGCTTTCAGATGCTGCTGATGTGGCCCAGATTCAGCATAGTGACCCAGAGGTGAAAGGCTACATATTCCATTACAACCCCTAGCCAATCTGCCTCCAGACTCTAGTGCATTTCAGTAGAGAAAGGAAGGAGGATAGGGTGACATACACACTAGATAGCAGCTAGAAGTAAGTCTGGGAAAATCTAAGAATGGAGCTTCAATTTCTAGAGATGCTTTTGTAAAGTGCATTACTTATGTGCTGTGAACGTGATCATGATGGATTATTCAGGTAAGGTGGAGACGAGAACACAGAGAATCAGAACAGGGAACTTGGAAGAGGCAAAGTAAACAGGCATGGTTGCCTGTTTATTTTGAGGTTTCGGGTGGCTATTAGCCCTACAAATGCCAGCTAAGGGCAAATTTCTGTTGGTTGAGATTCTTTGAGATTCTGTCAATGCAAGATTTTTTAAAAAGCAAGTATAAAAGATGAGAAGATGCAGTTTTGTGGCAAAGCGTAGAAAGTCACTAAGTCCACACATGATTAAAAATAGTGAAGAGACCATAATTCAAGTCATATGATCTCTTTTATTGTAATCATATTTACTCAAAAGCCTCTTCGTTTGTTCCATTTCTAATTGTTTTCTCTTCTTGTGTAGAGTTAAAAGAGTCACGGGCTTTATTGAAGGGTGGAGAAATTTTATTTTCAGAAATTTTGCCTCAATGTTTATTCCCTGTGAGACACTGACATTTTCTTCTCAAAACATATATATCTATATCTATATCTATATATTTAGATGTCTATATATATAGATATCTATATCTATATATATAGACATCTATATATATAGATATAGATATATAGATATAGATATAGATATTTTTTTTGAGACAGAGTCTCACTCTTGTTGCCCAGGCTGGGGAACGAGCTCAGCTCACTGCAACCTCTGCCTCCCGGGTTCAAGCGATTCTCCTGCCTCAGCCTCCCGAGTAGCTGGGATTACATGCATGAGTCACCACGCCCAGCTAATTTTGTATTTTTAGTAGAGACGGGGTTTCTCCATGTTGGTCAGGCTGGTCTTGAACTTCTGATCTCAGGTGATCCGCCTGCCTCAGCCTCCCAAAGTGCTGGGATTACAGGCGTGAGCCTTGTAATTACAGGTGCCTTGAAGGCGCCTGGCCTTCAAAACATATTTGTTTAGGGAAAAGTAGTGTCAGATCTATGAAGGTCATACTGGAAGTTGCTAATAAGTAGAATGCCATATTTCATGGAAGGAGACCAGAGTTCAGGAAGCATCCTTCCCACAGGGTCTATCATGGGATTTAGTTCCTTCTTTTTCTGCATCCCAGATGTTCCTGGAGGTGCATACTTGCTGGTAAGCCTGGAGTTGGAGGGATGAAAGCTACCAAAGGCCCTGATGGGTGTTATATAAGATGCCACGTGTGAGCCACTCCCCACAAGACGCCAACAAGCAGGGAACCTAGTTCAGCACTTTCATACCCAGTCTAAAGGCTTCTAGGAAACTGTGGGTCAGCTGGCCCACTCCTATTAACCATGCCTTCATCTGTAGTGGAAGGAACATGGCTCACAGGATGGGCTAGCAGGCGATGGGGCCTTTGACTTTCAGATTAGTCTTCCTGCGACTTTTAACGGTCATGTTTACTTTTGAATATAACCTGGGATGAAGCATTTATCAGCCTCTGGTACTTTTGTGAATTGGTAGTTTACAGCGGGCTTACTGGTAGCCTTGGCCAGCTCTTTGCCATAAAATCTTTAAGCATAGACACACAGGGGTATGGCCATTCCCTTTATTTTTAATTAATTAAGTAGTTTCTAGAGGGAGGGTTTCGTTCTGTCGCCTCGACTGGAGTGCAGCAGCATGATCCTAGCTCACTGCAGCCTCAACTCTCTGGCTCAAGCGATCTGCTTGCCTCAGCCTCCTGAGTAGCTGGGACTACAGGTGTGTGCCATCATGCCTAGCTATTTTTTAAATTGCTTGTAAAGATGGGGTCTTATTGTGTTGCCCAGGCTGGCCTCAGATGCCTGGCCTCACGCCTCCTGCCTTGGCCTCTCAAAGTGCTGGGATTATAGGTATGAGTCACTACATCTGGCCCATGAGTCACTGCACCTGTCCCATTCCCCCTGCCTTTATTGATTCCTACTTCCGCCTAGGATAACACTATCTCTTAAAAGAGTGTTGCCAAGAAACCCCATTTTTTTACATTCTATATTGTATTTTAAAGAGGAAACCCTATTTAGAGATATTTTTGTGGGAATGGTTTTGGAGTTTCAAACTTCTGAAGAACCTGGACTATGTTGGGGGCATTTACGGTGGCAGTGCACACGGCTCACACTGACGAATGGCTCGGCTGAGCAAGCCAGTGAAGCAGAGGGCAGGAGAGGTGACTTCCTGGCATCCTGGATCTCTGCAAATGAAGTTGCTGTAGCGCCATTATTTACCTCACTGTATGTGAAATGAAGGGGTAGGATTCATTGCCTTTTGGTTTTGATTTTACTTGTCCTTAGGGGTGTGTGTGTGTGTGTGTGTGTGTGTGTGTCTTTCCCCCTGGCCTTCTGGTGACGGATAATGGTGATGGCAGTTTAGGCCTGTTTCTGATTAGTAAAATGACCCTTCAAATGAGACTAGGAGAAAAATGCTCTCCTGAACCTCTGGAACCCTGGTTTTTCCTATCACAAGTTTAATGGCTTCAGGTCCTATGTTTTTAGCCGAGAAAATGAAAGACTCAGTCAGCGGGGATTAGGGTTTTTTGTTTAGAGAGAAGGTAAAAAGGTTACATGAAGATTTGGTGTGGGTTTAGACTGGGGTTAGCCTCCACGTAGGAAAGGTCTGAAGATCGAGAATGAGGCCAGGTTGTGCAGGTGAGCAGAGCTATCTTTGGCAGCTAGATTGGGATGTTTCTGGGCAGAGATATTTGTCCCTTAGGAGTGTATCAAATCACAGAGGTCACATCTGACTGTCACTGCTTTGTTACAGGAGAAAGACCTGTTCATCAGAATAATTCCTACGCTTTGAGCCACTTATTCAAGTGATGCTAGTCACGTTCAGAAAACAGATAACCTACCATGTGTTTGTGCTGTGCTAGGAGTTCTAGAGCTTTCAAGCACAACCGTATATCCGAGGTTGACTTTGGAGCTGTCATCGTGGGTTTGGGGCTGTATTTTAAAATAAGAGGAGCGGTGTCTTTTGGGCTTTGCTTTTTTTTCAAATGCTTTTTTCTGAGTCCCTTCAGTGATCCATTCTTGAGCTGTCTCTTCAGTCGTCAGTCTCTTGGTAGTCTTTATTCTAAGTTTTTTTCCTTTTTAATTGTAGTAAAATATGTATAGCATAAAATTTCCCATGTTATTCCTTTTTAAGCGTATGGTTCAGTGGCTTTAAGTACCTTCATATCATTGCACGGCCATCGCCACCATCCACCCACTTCCATCATCTCAAACCAAAACTCCAAATGCATTAAGCAATAACTTTTGTTATTAAAGTGTTTAATAATCACTTTGGTGCTGTTTAACCTCTTTACCCTGATTTCCTCCCCCTTTCTTGCTCCTTTTCTAGTAGTTTCTACTAATAGATCACCTGAGTAAGACTGCCCGTGTCAAGCCTGGTGTCACCTTAGGTTTTGGGGATAAAGGCTGGTGGTACCGCCTGTGACGTGGGCTTGCCACATGCAGTGTCTGAGTGGAGGGCAAGTGGGGCCGGCTCTACAGCCATCCGAGCAGACGGGGGCTCTGTCCCTTACTCCTCAGGCACCTGACGTTGGACTTGCCTCTGGGTAAATAATTCTTATCAAGCATTTACTTGGAACAATTCTTAACCATGTTTTTTTTTTTTAAATAATTACTGACATTTGTACTTTAAGCTGTATACAAATGTTCATATTTGACAGATATTCTAAGCATTAGAGATATTTAATGAAAACTTGTAAATAGGCAAAACGACATTTAAAAAGACTGCCCCTGTCTTTGTGAAAGCAGCAAATAGTTCTCTTGGCTCCCATTTCCCCCTCTCCACTCTAAAATATTTTTAAATAAAATAGCGTTTGAAATTCTCCAGAGAATGCTTTAAAGAGAAAGATCCACGTGACCTCATTAAGTCATTCATTCACGTATTCATTTATCACACATTTATCAGGCTCCCAATATGTGCCACTTTCTCTGTGTTAAATACTATGGATTCAAAAACAAAGGAGGCCGGGCGCAGTGGCTCATGCCTGTAATCCTAGTTCTTTGGGAGGCTGAGGCGCGTGGATCACCTGAGGTCAGGAGTTTGAGACCATCCTGGCCAACATGGCGAAACCCTGTCTCTATTAAAAATACAAAAATTAGCCGGGCGTGGTGGTGCGCGCCTGTAGTCCCAGCTACTCGGGAGGCTGAGGCAGGAGAATCACTTGAACCCCAGGAGGTGGAGGTTGCAGTGAGCCGAGATCACGCCACTGCACTCCAGCCTGGGCGACAGAGCGAGACTCCGACTCAAAAACAAAACAAAAACAAAGGAGACCCCAACATTGGTCGTGAGAAGTTTACCAACCAGGAGGGGAGATAAGTGTGTAAACAAGCAAACAACTGTCGTAAAGGCTGTGGCACAAGAGTGGGTGGGTAGAATTCGGGTAATCCAGGAGGTGTCAGAAAGACCAGGGGTGGACCTTTCATCTGAGCCACGAGGACAAGCAGGTGTTTGCTTTGGAGACAGAGGGTGGACAGGATGTTCTGGAGAGCTGCAGTTGCGGGGCAGAGGCAGTGAGGCATGAAGCACCTGGCGCATGGCCTGTGCGGGCCTGGGTGGTGAGGGCAAAGACAGTGAGCAGAGGAGGCAGCGCCTGGGGGGCCTGGCCAGGGACCCCACCCCCTGCATCCTGATGAAGAACTGTAAGAGGACCATGTCTGTGTGCCTGGATAATCGCTGGCAGCAGCAAGGGAATTTCGAAGCAAGATCTCAGCTGGAGACAGGCAAGAGGCTGTCGCCATGCTTTTAAAGAAGTATCAGAGATATTTTGCTTTTGAAACATTTGGCTTCACTGGAACTTTCGTCTTCCTATGAAATATTGGAGGATGTCAGATCCTCCCCCATTTCTAAGAGTAGGAGAGACTCATGTATCTTTCTCTTTGGGGTAAACATTCAGCTTCAGATCCTGCAGGTAGCAGAGAGAGAGAGAGAGAGAGAGAGGAGTGGTTAAGAGTGTGGCCATTGGAGTCCAGGGAGTCTGCGTTCTAATTCTGGCTCTCCTCTTAAATAGTCCTGCAGCTTGGGCAACTTACTCAACTGTGTCCTTCCTCAACTTCCACATCTGTAAAATGGGGAGAACACCTTCCTTTCAGGGTTATAGGCAAATGAGGTAATAATCTCTTTTAAAATACTTAGCCCAAGTAAATGCTCAGTAGGTGCTAGCTATCATCTCCAGTTTCTATTTCCTGAACTGTGACCTTGACTAAATGTGGCCCAGTCCTTTAAGAGAGGGGATTTGTGGTCACTTTAAAAAAATCTTCAGCTGTGCTCATGTGGTCCGGAGTACTGTGTTAGTTTTCCTGCCTGTGGCTCATGGGCCAGTGGTCACCATGGAAATGGTGGTGGTGGGGGTAGGGGTGGGGGAAGAGAAGGAAGCCGAGCTACAGAGACATTCATACACTTGTTCGTGACCACAGCAGGATTTGGGGTCCTTCTAGAGTCACTGCTGCAGGATTCTTTTTGTTTTTTTCTTTTTTAGAGGTGGGGCCTTGCTCTGTCACCCTGGCTAGAGTGCTGTGAAACGATCACAGTCCACTGTAACCTTGAACACCAACTGCAGGATTCCTATTCTCTTTTGTGGGCAAGATAGGGTGGGGGACATTGTGCACCCCCTTCTTCTCTGTCCCAGTCTGTGACAGACCCTGTCAGACATTGAGAGGCCTGAGAGCTGCAACAGTGGTTGTGCCAGAGAGGAATTTGCCAAAGCTCTCAGCGACCTTTCTGCATTAAAGTTTCGTGCCATTATCTCTTTCACATACAAATTCAAGCCCTTTTTTTTCCCTTGAAATCACTTTTGTGCTGTTTAACCTCTTTACCCCGATTTCCCCCCCTTCTTTCTTGCTCCCTTTCTAGTAGTTTCCAGCTAATGGATCACCTGGATAAGATTGCCCCTGTCTTTGTGAGAGCAGCAATTAGCTCTCACCCTGAGAAGGCGGCGTGTTCTGTTGCTTGGCAGCCTTGGTGTAGAGGATGGATTGGGTCTGCGTCTTTTCATTTGAAAGTAGGTTATCGATTAGCACGGATGCCAATTTACTACAGAGGCTGTTGCCAATGCCTCTTGATCTCATTATGGTGTAAATTTTCAAGATTGTATCACATTAGCTCAGGAGAATTCAGGAGAGAAAAA
Source organism: Homo sapiens (assembly GCF_000001405.40). Lineage (NCBI taxonomy): Eukaryota > Metazoa > Chordata > Mammalia > Primates > Hominidae > Homo > Homo sapiens. The sequence goes on from NC_000001.11 coordinate 245,181,503, forward strand.
CGTAGTAAAGTTAAAAAAAAAAAAGCCAAAAAAAAAAATTCTTCCATTATATTATAGCCCAGGCAAAAATAAACATGGCTACAGCTGGCCATGTTCGGAAAGGACCTGCGGTGTGTGTGTGGCTGGGTTGGTTATGAGCTGTAGGAAAACCTAGCGACAGGTTTCAAAGTACTTCATGTTTTTGGTTTATTCCTTCGATTTCTTTTAGGACTGATTTTCTTGGGAAATGGTGATTTTTAGGGAAACTGCAGACTGTTGGGTCTATTTTTTTATGACAAGAGCCCTCTAGTCTCAGCTTTGTGAGACAGAAAAAGGAGGCAGGGACAGTGAGATGGCAGAGGAGGAGATGCTGGCGACCGTGCTAATGCTAGCTAATGCTAATTTTGAGGACCAGATAGTTTGGGTGCAGGCCTAACTGTTGTTCAGTTAGGAATCTGAGATCATTCCCTTCCAAAAAGTGGCTTTATTGAGATACAATTTATGTGCCATAAAATTCACCTGTTTTAAACGTGTGCGGGCCTAACTCTTGGCCAATTAGGAATCTGAGATCATTCTTCTATAAAAAATGGCTTTATTGAGACAATTTATGTGCCATGAAATTCACTTGTTTTAAATGTCCAGCTCGGTGCATTTCCATTTATTGCCAGGTCTGCAGCCATCATCACTATCTAATTTTAGAACATTTCTGTCACTCCACAAGGAAATGGCCCATTATCAGTCAGTCTTCACCCTACTCCACTCCCAGGCACAGGAAAAGACTAATCTGCTTTCCGTCTCTGTAGATTTTCCTTTTGTAGCATTTTACATGAACAAAGTCATACAATCTGAGGCCTTTTGCAGATGGCTTCTTTGAGTTGGTACAGTGTTTTCAAGGCTCACCCTGTTGTAGCATGTATCAGTACTTCATTTCTCTTTATTGCCTGGTAATATTCCACTGTATAAACATACCACATGCTGTATATCCATTCACCAGTCGATGGCTATGTGGGCTATTTCTAGTTTTTGGCTATTATGAATAATGCTGTTATGAACATTTGTGTGTCAATTTGTGTGGACATATGGTTTCATTTCTTATGGATAGATGCCTAGGTGTGGAATTGGTAGTTGATATGGCAATTCTATGTTTAACATTTTGAGAAACTTTTTTTTTTGAAATAGAGTCTCACTCTGTCGCCCAGGCTGGAGTGCAGTGGCGCCATCTCGGCTCACTGCAACCTCCACCTCCTGGGTTCAAGTGATTCTCCTGCCCCAGCCTCCCGAGTAGCTGGGATTACAGGCACGTGCCACCATGCCTGGCTAATTTTTTGTATTTTTAGTAGAGACAGGGTTTCACCGTGTTAGCCAGGATGGTCTTGAACCTCTGACCCTCGTGATCCACCCGCCTCGGCCTCCCAAAGTACTGGGATTATAGGCGTGAGCCACCACGCCCGGCCCCATTGAGAAACTTCCAAACTCTTTTCCCAAATGGCAGCACCATTTTATATTCCTCCCAGCAACAGATGAGGCTTTCGATGCTAGTATCACCCTGTAGCTTTGATTTGCATTTCACTAATGACCGATGAGGTATAGCATCTTTTCGTGCTTATTGACCATTCATATATTTTCTTTGGAAAAAACATTTATTCAACCTTTTGGTGTTTTTTAATTGGGCTATTTTTGTTGTTGTTATTGAGTTGTAAGTCTTTAATATATCCTGGGGTATAAGTCTCTTATCAGATATATGATTGGCCAGTATTTTCTCCTGGTCTGTGAGTTATCTTTTCACTTTCTTGATGGTGTTGTTTGAAGCACAATAGTTTTCTGTTTGATGAGATCCAGTTGATCAATTTTTCTTTTATTGCTTTTGGTATCTAAGAAGTTGTCTAATCCAAGATCATGAAGATTTACTTCCAGATTTTTGTCTTAAGAGTTTATAGTTCTGGTTCCAACACTTAGGTCTATGGTCCATTTCGAGTTAAGATCACTCATTTTTCTTGCATAAAGAAATTTTCCAGACTCATTCAGGTTTCAAGAAAATAGACTTAGAATGACCACTGTGGATTTTCTTTTCTGTCCTTCATTTTCTAACAAAGCATATGTAGTGGCCGTCACATGCTGGGTAGAATCAAGATTGCAAAGACTGACGTAAGAATTTGGCACATGAGCAAGCTGGAGTTGGAGATCCTGACAGAATCTCTAACACATCTTCTGAGGGTGGGAGAACTGTCACAGAAGCAACCTGCAGGTGTGAGATGGACTCCAGGGCCTTGGCACTCATCAGAAGAAAGCTTGACCTCCTCACCTGCATGGGGTTGGGGAACAAAGCAAATTAAGCATCAGAGAAAGACCTGGCGGTATGACACGATTAAGCCATAATGGCACCAGGGCACAGCTGCCAAGCAGGTTGTCAGAAGGGCAGACAGAGTGATGGAGTTTTTTGTTGGGGTACTGTCATATAGTTATTTGATGAAGCCATCTCTCTGTTTTTGACTACATTCTTGCTTTCATTGGATTTTTTCCTACATCTTGACCCCTAACCTCCTGCAACAGGTATGGGTGGGAGTTGTTGTTTTTTTTTTTTTTTTTTTGAGCTTTCTTAAGTATACCTGTGGTTTTCCTCCAAGTCCCCCAAGGATCAGTTATAGCTCTGGGAAAGTGGGGGGAAGTGAGATGCTAGACTTATTTTTACCAAAATCCAAGACTAGTGACACAAGGTAGAAGTCACTGGATGGAATGAACTTGTAGGATATTCCCTTTTGGGGCACTAATCACAAAGGCAAATTGAATGGTAGAGTGTCAAGGTGAACTTTAATACTTTGTAACATGAGCTCCAGGCCAGGTCTTAAAACATCTTGGACATATTGCAAGAAATAGCTCAGCCCTATAGCACATTGAATGAGAATGGAGAGTGGATCCTGGGTTGGCTTTAGACTCTGGCCTTGGCGTTTGTGTGTACACATGTGCGTCGTCATCTGTGCACACAGGTACACAAATGTGTCTTTATAATCTCTGGGGAAGCAGGTTCACTTTTAATGTTCTTTCATCTGCTATTTGATTTTAAAATCTTGGGGGAAAGTATTGAAAATCAAATGTACTCATCTGTCCTGTGTAAAAATAGGAGTCAAAATTTTAAAATCTGAATTTATGCAACAAATTAAATATGGAGTGTTACTTCTCATCACAAAATAATCTAGCCATTGTTACCTTCAAGAGAGCAGTTTCTCATTGATGCAATTAAAATGAACTTCTCAGGGATTCTTTTACTATAAACGGAGGTGCACCCAAACCTTATATCTCTGAGAAAACAGTGGCTGTGTAATGAGTGGTGAATTGTTTTTGGCGAGTGTGGCTGCCAGGTTGCTTCCTCCTAAATCTGAGATGGTAGACAGAGGTTTATTATTGCTGTAGCAGATAGAGAGCGTCTTGCTTGCACTGCAGAAGTCTGCCCAGAGCACTTAATTAGACATTTCTGTGGCTATTTGCAGCCCAGTACAATGGGAGATCAGGGGATTCCAGATTGGAATCCTAGACATCCAAATCCATAGTTAGCGTTCAGAGCCAAATTTTTTATTGCTTCTCTGGGATTATGCTAATCATTCAATTCAAATTTATTCAACTCACATTTTTGACATTCTGCTGTGTGCTAAGGTGGTGGAAATACTTTTTTTTTTTTTTTAGACAGAGTCTTGCTCTGTCGCCTAGGCTGGAGTGCAGTGGTGCAATCTTGGTTCACTGCAGCCTCTGCCCCCCGGGTTCCAGCGATTCTCCTGCCTCAGCCTCCCGGGTAGCTGGGATTACAGGCACCCGCCACCACACCTGGCTAGTTTTTGTATTTTTAGTAGAGATGGGGTTTCGCCATGTTGGCCAGGCTGGTCTCGAACTCCTGACCTCAGGTAATCAGGTGGCGGAGATACTTAATGAAACCTGGTTCCAACCTTCAAGAATAGCACAAGGAAGGGAGGGGGGTCTGGATAAAATCGAAAGGTACAAGTTGTGTTGGGACTAAGTGGATCTAAACATGCTTTCTGAGGCTGTCATTACCCCAAAAGTCAGCTTTGTGTCAATCAACAAACACTGTGGTCTGTCTTTTCTCTCAGCAAAGTCTGAAGGAGTGGGACACTCCAACTGTGTGTCACAGGAATGAGCTGTCATCTGGCAATTTACAGACCAGCTTCAAGGATTCCATTTACCACCAGTTTATTCACTTGTATTTCTAATATTTATATTTTCTTAAGATGATCCCCTCTCCCATGTGTGCTAATTTTCTAAATAACAGCCACATCGACAAAATGCCCCCTTTGATGAGTCATGGGCTGAGCTGGGTTCTAGTGATGCTGGCTACAACCTTGAGAGTTAAAGAAAAGCTATTTATATTTTCTTTTTATTATTTTATTTTATTTTATTTTATTTTGAGACAGAGTCTCACTCTGTCGCCCAAGCTGGAGTGCGGTGGCGTGATCTCAGCTCACTGCAACCTCCGCCTCCCGGATTCAAGCAATTCTCCTGCCTCAGCCTCCTGAGTAGCTGGGATTACAGGTGCCCGCCACCACGTCCAGCTAATTTTTGTATTTTTAGTAGAGACGGGGTTTCACCATGTTGGTCAGGCTGGTCTCGAACCCCTTACCTCGTGATCCACCCACCTTGGTCTCCCAAAGTGCTGGGATTACAGGCGTGGGCCACTGCGCCTGGCCCTATATTTTCTTAAGATGGTCCCTTCTCCCACGTGCGCTAATTTTCCAAATAACAGCCACATCAACAGAATGCCCCCTTCGATGAGTCATGGGCCGAGCTGGGTTCTAGTGATGCCGGCTACAGCCTCGACAGTTAAGGAAAAGCCACTTTCGCAAAGAATGGACCCTGCTTCCGTAACCTTGGGTTAAATGTTGTCTGCGAGCACCTTACTGAGTTTCTTCATTTTTTGCTTTATTTGGGTGCAGCTAAACCAGCTAAACAGCCTTAATAAGTTACTCCCTGGGATACAATAAGCTCCCTGCATCTGTGAGGTGAAAGGCAGCCCAGTGAATTCTGTCGACAGTAGCTGTTCTGAGAAAGTGAGCTTGAAAGGGGGTGTAGGAGTCAAAGGTGAGAGGTCATGACGTCAGTAGTCCAAACACCTGGAGGTTTTAGTCTAACTTCCTTTCTTGTTACTTAGCCAGGCAGTAAGTTACGTATCTCTAACTTGGCCTTCTGTAAAGTGGGACTCTTAGTACTTGCCCTGCTTATCTTTCAGACAGAATCAAATGAAATAGCAGAAGTGTTTTGTCAATTAAAGTGACATCAGATGCAAAGAGTATTATTATATCATCATCATCATCATCACCAAAGGAACTATGGTAATGTTGGATAAAAAGCCAAATACTTTTTTTTTTCTTTCTTTCTTTCTTTTTTTTTCTGAGACAGAGTCTCTCTCTGTAGCCCAGGCTGGAGTGCAATGGCGCGATCTTGGCTCACTGCAACTTCCACCTCCTGGATTCAAGTGATTCTCCTGCCTCAGCTTCCAGAGTAGCTGGGACTACAGGCGCGCACCACCACGCTCAGCTAATTTTTGTATTTTTAGTAGAGACAGGGTTTCACCATGTTGGCCAGGATGGTCTCGATCTCTTGACCTCATGATCTGTCCGCCTTGGACTCCCAAAGTGCCGGGATTACAGGTGTGAGCCACTGCACTCAGCCAAGCCAGGTACTTTTCTAAGTAATTTAATTCTCTAGAAGAAAAGATGATAAGATCTTTGCCTGGAACTGGAGGCCATTATCTTAAGTGGAACAAGTCAGACACAAAAAGACAAATACTGCGTGTTCTCACTTATAAGTGGGAGCTAAATAATGTGTACACATGGACAATAGAGAAAGACAGACAGTGGAGATTGCAAAGATGGGGCAGGTTGATGAGGAATGAGAAATTACTGAATGGACACCATGTAGTTTATTCCAGTGATGGATGCATTCAAAGCTCAGACTTCACCAATATGGAATATGTCCATGTAACAAAATTACACTTGGACCCCATACATTTATACAAAAAAAGACCTTTGACACTAGGCATAACTAGTGGTTTGGTTAATGCAGAGGAGTATTGCTGTGGTCGCTTTCTTTTAACCAGCTTGAGAGACAGTACAAGAGAAGGTTCAGGTTCTTGTCTTGACAGAAGTCTCAGTACACCCACCTGTACTTTAGGAGAATGTGGATTGGAAGGCTCTTGGTGTTTCAGTTTTCTGAGTGGGTTTGAGTAATTATGTTGGAGAGGGGGAGGTTGATGAGAGTGTAACACACTTTTCGTGGCTATAAGAGATGATAATAAAGAGTTATTAGAACATTTATTAGACACATGATAGGGAAAGTTGGTTAAGGGCCTTGAAGAACAGGCAAAGGATGTGGAATTCATGTTTTTGAGCTCTAGATGATATGATGAAAATTGTGGTTGAGGATTATTTTTCTGATCTTGAGGAAATTCAAGTTTGAATGATGAGGATGAATGAGGTTAATCAACACTGAAATTGGAATCAGAGGCAAATTCAAGGCCGGGCGCGGTGGCTCATGCCTGTAATCCCAGCACTTTGGGAGGCCGAGGTGGGCGAATCACCTGAGGTCAGGAATTCGAGACCTGCTTAGCCGACATGGCAAAACCCCATCTCTACTAAAAATACAAAAATTAGCCAGGTGTGGTGGCACACGCTTGTAATCCCAGCTACTTGGGAGGCTAAGGCAGGAGAATCACTTGATCCCAGGAGGTGGAGGTTGCAGTGAGCCTGGATCGCACCATTGCACTCCAGTCTGGGCAAGAAGAGTGAAACTCCATCTCCAAAAAAAAAAAAAAAAAAAAAGAGGCAAATTCAAGACACAGTAGAACAGGGGTGTGGTCGGTGAAGCCGGGAGAGTAGGCAGGAAGTGAGGCCAGTTTGGGAACCAGCAAAGCCCACCTCTCTCTCGAATAGCCCCTATTTGTCCCAAGATCTTACTTTCCTACCATCATGTTTGGTTTTGACTGAATAGCTCAATTCAGAGAGACATTTCAACTTTCCCTCTGTGCTTTGCAAACTGATGACGAAGATATGTTTTAAGGAACTAGCTCCCAAGTTAGTTCCTCTTACAAAGATGTACAGATTTTAAAACTGAACATGTGTGTGTTGCTGCTGAGAATGTAAAATCATGCAGCTGCTTTGGAAAATGATACGACAGTTTTTCAAAAAATTAAACAAGGAATTACATATGATTCAGCAGTTCCACTTCTGGTATAAACCCAGTTGAATTGAAAGCAGGGACTCAAACAAATATCTGTACACCCATGTTCGTAGCAACATTATTCACAGTAGCCAAAAGGTGGGAACAGCCCAGTGTCCATCATGGATGGATGAGCAAAATGTGGTCTATGTATTTACAATGGAATATTGTTCAGAAAAGGAGTGAAATTCTGAAACAGGCTACAACATGGATGAACCTTGGAGACATGATGCCAAGTGAAATAAGCCAGTCACAAAGGACAAATGTTGTATGGCTTTGCTTACACGAGGTACATAAAGTAATCAGACTCAGACAGGAAGTAGAATGGTGGTTGTCAGGGGCTGGAGTTGAGGGGAATGGAGAGTTATTGTTTAACATACAGAGTTTCAATTCGGGAAGATGAAAAAGTTCTGGAGATGATGGTGGTGATGGTTGCGTAGCAATGTGAACGTACTGAATGCCACTGCACACTTGAAAGTGGCTAATATAGTCAAGTTTACATGTATTTTACCATAATAAAAATGGTGAACTGTCATTATCTTGCATTGTTGATGCTTTTGTTCAAATCCTGGGAAATATGATATAATAAATCTCTTCTTATGTTATTCCAGGTCTGGAAAGTGAACTCTGGTTAACTTTTCAATATCATTTTCCCCAGGAAAACAAAAGATAATGATGTTTCCTAGGCCAAACACACCTTGTTAACATTTCCATAACAAAACAGCAAACTGTCATTTAAAGTTTATCTCACTGTTATTCTTGAGCCACAAAGAAGCAATGTTTACAGACGATTTTACACTAACAATTGGATGTGCTGGAAATGGGTATTTGGGTGATCTCAGGGTTCGTGAACCTCAGGCTGTGGAGTGTTCTTGTTCTAGATGTCCGCTGAGAGTTTTCTTTCTCAAGGGGCTCCTAAATTAGAGGTAAGCCCCCTACCACCTGTGTGATCCCCCAGAAGTTAGAACCTTGCGCCTTCTCTGTGGCAGGGAGGAGACCTGTCCTCTCTAGAGCTGGAAGGTTGTGTGTTAACAAAGTTGAAGGCAGTCATATTAGTCTGTTTTCACTTTGCTGATAAAGACACACATGAGACTGGGTAATTTATAAAGACAAAGAGGTTTAATGGACTCACAGTTCCATGTGGCTGGGGAGGCCTCACAATCATGGTGGAAGGTGAAAGTCACGTCTTACATGGTGGCAGACAAGAGAGAAAGAGAGTGAAGTGAAAGAGGAGAACTCCTATGAGACCATCAGATCTCGTGAGACTTACTCACTACCGTGAGAACAGTATGGGGGGAAACCACCCCCGTGATTCAATTATCTCCTCCCCGGTCCCTCCCACAACACGTGGGAATTATGGGAGCTACAATTCAAGATGAAATTAACCTATGAAACCATCAGATCTCGTGAGACTTACTACCATGAGAACAGTATGGGGAAACTGCCCCCATGATTCAGTCATCTCCCCCTGGGTCCCTCCCACAGCATGTGGGAATTAAGGGAGCTACAATTCACGATGAAATTTGGGAGGGGACACAGCCAGACCATATCAGCAGCCTATGGGATGTTCCCCCGAGGGCTCCACAGCCGGGTGCTCAGATTGCTGGGACTCTCTTGTCAGGACTTCTTCCTTCTTTTTTGCCTAGGTCTTATCAGAACTAAGCCATTTGGTTTGTAATCTTTCCTGTAACACTGGCTGCAGGGTCTTTAGCCTGGATTCTAGATTGGAGGGTACAGGGCAGCAGCCTCACAGGTGCCCATTAGCACATCCCACAAGCAGTCACGGCACTGCACTTGCACTGGAAACAGCTTCTCATTTTCCCGGGAGTACCTTCTGCCAACTTTGAGAACACCAATTCCTAATTCCTGTTCCAGTATCCACTTTGGTTTTATACATAGGACATCTTTTCCTATAAGTTTTCCCTGAATGTTTTGTTTTGTTTTTTTTTTTTTTTACATTTCTTACAGATGTCTATTAAAATCTCAGCATTCTTATAAAATACTCTTTGATTTGAAGAAAGTAGTCATTTTCCCTTAGGCTTATGATGCCTCAGTCTCCCTATAAGAGATAAGAACCAGGCTGGGCGTGGTGGCTCATGCCTATAATCCCAGCACTTTGGGAAGCCAAGGTGGGTGGATCACCTGAGGTCAGGAGTTCGAGACCAGCCTGACCAAGATGGTGAAACACCATCTCTACTAAAAATACAAAAATTAGCCGGTGTGGTGGCAGGTGCCTGTAGTCCCAGCTACTCGGGAGGCTGAGGCTGGAGAATCGCTTGAACCTGGGAGGCGGAGGTTGCAATGAGCCAAGATCGTGCCACTGCACTCTAGCCTGGGTGACAAGAGCAAGACTCTGTCTCAAAAAAAAAAAAAAAAAAAAAAAAAAAAGAGATAAGAACCAGATATGCATAAATATGAATATTTGTTCATTTGTAATCTGGCTCTTCCTGTGATAAGATGCCACCAATATTTGGGTAGAATGCTGGGGAGAAGTTACCTCCCAACATTGAAAAGAGTAAAATCCCAGCACTTTGGGAGGCCGAGGCGGGCGGATTACCTGAGGTCAGGAGTTCGAGACCAGCCTGGCCAACATGGTGAAACCCCATCTCTACTAAAAATCCAAAACTTAGCTGGGCGTGATGGCAGACGCCTGTAATCCCAGCTACTCGGGAGGCTGAGGCAGGAGAATCATTTAAACCCAGGAGACAGAGGGTGCAGTGAGCCGAGATCACACCACTACACACCCACCTGGGCAATAAGAGTGAAACTCTTGTCTCAAAACAAGCAAACAAAAAGGATTAAATATATATAAAAAAATCTAGAAGGAAATATATGGATAAAGAAGTTTCTAAGCTTGATAGAATAGAAGGTATCACAAGAGAAAATATAGACAGGTTTGACTACATAAAAATTAAACTCTGTATATCAGAAAACATTTGTACGTTGACAAAATCAAAGGGCAGGCGACAATCTGCAGAGAATGTAAAAAATTACAACGAAGCATGAATATCTTTAATATAGAATTTTTAATACAAATTGCTAATGTCAACATTAAGACCGCAGTAGTTTAAGGGACAAAGGCAGTTGAACTGACTTTGCAAAAGGGGAAACAAACACACATGGCTACCAAACGCAAGAAAAATTGTTCAACTTCATTAGTAATCAAATAAATGCAAATCGAAACAACAGTAAGCTACCATTTTTGATGCAGCTTAACAAAGATTTTGTAAAATGTGATATTCTTTCATATAATGAAGGATAAATTAATACCATTTTGGAAAGCAGTGTGATGAACCTTAAAATTATTCTTACTCCTTGACCTGGTAGTTCTATTTCTGGGAATCTATCTTAAGGGGATAATCCTAACTACCAGGATTAATGCACAAAAGTATTTCCTGAAGCATTTAAAAAAAATAATTATAAAGAATTAGAAAGAAGCTGCATGTTCAGCATTAGGGAAATGGTTACAGAAATTATGATCAATCTATTTGATCAAATGCTGTGTGGTCTCTTAAAATAACATTTGTAAAATGTTTCCCATGTTTCAGGGGACGTGCTCATGATATAATTAATGCTAAGTGATAAAAAAGCAGGATATAACCTCAAATGTAAGTATTTTCTGGTCTAGACAGTTTAAAACTTCACAGGAAAGAAAAAAAAGGATGCTTGCTACAATATTAGCAGAGAATAATATTGATGGCTGCTGGTCTCCCCTAGTAAACTGTGTTTCCTAAAAGGGCATACATTACTTTAAAAACATTTTTAATTTTGAGATATTTTGTAAAAATTTGATTCTCATATATCTGTCTTAAGAATTTATTATATAAATCATCCTTGAATAAACTAAGTTACATAGTTTTCAAACTCTGTCTCCTGCTAAATGATCATCTATACTGATGACTTTTTAAAATAATATAAACTTCCAGGAGGGAGGAAAGAGGTATGTTTATTTTAGGGGCCTCCAGAGCCCACAGTAACTCTTCCTTCTTGGGGAGAGGAGTCTAAAGATAACAGGCCTGAGTTTGTGAACTCTCATCTCTAGTATACTTGACTTCTTCTATGTATTTATTGATTGTGTGGTATCACAGATTTGGGGGGTGCGTGTGCAGGTGCACGTGTCCCGTTCTGTAGTGGTGGGGATTGGGTTTCTAGTGTACCCATCACCTCAATAGTGAACATTACACCCAACAGATAATTTTTTTTTACTTTTAGTCTCAGGGCACTGTGCAGGTTTGTGATACAGGTAAGTTGTGTGTCATGGGATTTGCTGTACAGATGATTTCATCACCTAGGTAGTAAGCATAGTACCCAATAGGTAGTTTTTGAGACTCACCCTTCTCTTACCCTCCACCCTCAAAGTAGGTCTTGGTGTCTGTTGTTCCCCTCCTAGTATCCATGTGTGCTCATTGTTTAGCTCCCACTTATAATTGAGAACACACGGTATTTGGTTTTCTGTTCCTGTGTTAGTTTGCTTAGGATGATGGCCTCCAGCCCCATCCATGTTGCTGCAAAAGACATGATCTTGGCTGCATAGTGTTCCATGGTGTATATGAGCCACATTTTCTTTATCCAGTCTACTGTTGATTGGCATCTAGCTTGATTCCATGTTTGCACTATTGTGAATAGTGCTGCAGTGAACATACGTGTGCATATGCCTTTATGGTAGAATGATTTATGTTCCTTTGGTACTTGACTTCTTATTGCCATTGTGTTCACCAAAGACAATCATATGACTCAGTCTGTTTCAATTGGTTTGAAAGCTTAGGCTTTCCTTTTTAAATAAACCGGAAAGCTTAGGCTTTCCTTTTTAAATAACCTTTTTTCAAAATTTCATATTTTTTTCTCATTTTAGGAATGTAATAATAGTCATCATGCGTTAAGAGCTTTCAAAGAACCAGATCCTGTTCTAAACACTTTATATGTGTTACATCATTTAATGTTCACAGCAATCCTCTGAGATGTAGGTACTGTTATCATCCCAGTTTTACAGATGAGAAAACTGAAGCACAGAGAAGTCAAGTAAGTGGAGAAGCCCATGTTCAAACCTGAGTCATCTGTCGCCAGAGCGTCCCTCCACTGCGCCAGATTTATGACAACTTACTTGTTCTTTATGAAGGCAGCAACTCAGGCACAGTAGGCCAAGGCTGCCATCTGATGAAACAACTGGCAAATCAATGGCAGAGAAAGATTCAGAGCAGAGACAGGGCTGCGTCCATTGATCGTGTTAGGACCTGGACCATGGGGCGCTAGAAAATGACATGGACGCCAGAAAGTTTCTTTTTGCTGCTGACTGATCATTTATGAACTTTCCATGGACTTTTGAAAATAATATCAAAATAATACCACTAGAATTGTTAAAGCATTCCACGTAGGACACTGGGTCATTTGATTTCTGTAGGAAAATGTGATTTTGTAGGAAGGCGTATGGTAGTTTCTTCCATATAAGGCCATTATCTCGTCTTTGAACCTAATTTCTACTGCAGTTCAGGTTTGGAGAGGCCTAATTCATCGTGGTGGCACAGTTTTAAAATTTGCCCCTCATTTGGAATTGATTTAGAGTTTCCGTTTACATAGAGTGCTTGATGCAGGAGGCAGTTATGGAAAGGGAGGCCCTCTCTGAGCACGGTGCATGGGGTTAGAGTTGCCTAGATTTTGGTAACATAGTGACACTGCAAACAAAACTCTATGGAAACAAAATAATTTTTTTTTTCTTTTTGGACACAGAGTCTTCCTCATGCAGCGGTGCAAACTCGGCTCACTGCAACCCCTTGGGTTCAAGCGATTGTCCTGCCTCAGGCCCCCAAGTAGCTGGGACTACAGGCATGTGCCACCATGCCTGGCTAGTTTTTTGTATTTTTAGTAGAGATGGGGTTTTGCCATGTTGCCCAGGCTGGTCTCGAACATCTGACCTCAGGCCATCCACCCACCTTGGCCTCCCAAAGTGCTGGGATTACAGGTGCGAGCCACTGCACCTGGCCTGGTTTTTACTTTCAAATCTGATATTTTAGCCTGTTAGTGTTAACCATGTTTAACTGACTCAAATGAAATGCTGGCCCTGGCTCCCATATAGCCAGAAGAATAAGAATGCTGGTAATCAGGTATTGGCGTTTCTTCAAAAAGCCAAAATCTGTTGTAATAGAAATACTGGTAATTTCTTCACTCTGTGAAGTACATGTGTATGGGGGTGTGTGTGTGTAGGAGAGGGTTGAAGATTTTAACAGTTGTTTGCCCAAGGTTACTATATAATCTAAACATATATAAGGCTCCAAGGCATTTAGCTTATGGGGAAAATTAAATAGTGGCTATTTTATAAAGGCAACTAGTTGGGAGGCCTCAATCATTGTTACTTTTTATGGGCTCTACTAGGATTTTATGTAGGAACCAGTGTGATCTGGGGAGGAGGGATTCCTTTACACACATCCTTCAGAAAGCCACCATTGTATTCCTGTTGCATTTGATGAATATCCCTAGTAGGTTTCTTTTCTCCACCTGCCACCTAGGTAGATCACCACTGCTGCATGTCACTTTTACTGAAGTGAGTAAAATCTCTGCTAGTAGTGTTTTCCAATTATGCATATATTTTCTTAGTGCTTATTTGGCACTGACTTTGGGGAGTCGTAGTCTTTCTGAGATGGGAATAACATCATTTGTTTGTTGCGCCTCAGTTCCACCGTCATTTAAATAGGAGGCGTGTCGTGATGGTGGGCAACCTTGTTCCCACCTGACCTTGTGAGATGCGCTAGGTGGATTATGGTCTTTGAACTACACATTGCTTGAATTCCTTGGGAGACGTGGGTCACATAAACAGGAGCCTGTGATTTTTCAGGATTGACGGGGAGGGGCATCTTCCTTTCCTAAATCCTTCCTTTGATCTCCTCAGCGGAGGTCACTTAAGCAACAGCTGGCTCTTCTTTGCCCCTGGGGCTCCGCTTCAGGGCCGGGGGAAGGAGGCTGAGCATGTCGAGTGCCCTGGGAAGGCCCATCTGCCTGTCAGGTGTTGTTTTTCCGCCAAACACCGAAAGAGCTATGTTTTGTTCCTCTTAAAGAGTTTACCATCCAGAAGGGAAAAATAAGATAGAAAGTAAATAGCTACAGCACACAGTACCTCTGAGGATAGGGGTAATAGGATTGTGGTCAAAGCAGGGTGTGCTCGGAACCATTTGAGGCGACCGGCAATCATTTCCTTAAAAGAGTAGCCTTGAGAAAAGCTCTAATAGATGGGTAAGATTTTGATGGGATTTTGGTAGGAGCCAAGGAGAGTAATCAAAGTGGAAAAAGGAGGGACTGGAGCCCTTGCCTGGGGCTTGAGGTTATCCTCGAGGTCCTTCAGGATGTCCTTCTGTGGCAGGAGGATGATAGAACTATTTGTTTCTAGTGTTTTGTATGGTTTTAGAGCCTTATATATTATGGTGACAGATCCAAGGACACAATGATTTGATGGTGTCCCTGTAGGAAGACCCCGTTTAACAAGACCACTATTTTCCTGGTAAATGAGATATAAGATGTATAGTCTTTTGTTTCCTCCCAGCAGCTACTCTGTGGATACATCCTGTGAACTTCCCTTTGCAATGATTAGGATGACAGCCCCTGTCTCTAAGCTTCTACCTGGGCTCCCTAAGTCCATTTTCTTCCCATTCCTAATAGCTCTGAAAACAACCTTCCACTGTGTTTCCTCCAGCATATTTCCGAGTTGATTGTCAAGCACAGCTCTTATGATATCACTGATCTGCTCAAAGCCCTTCCCTGGCTCTCCTGTTGAATGGTGACCTGGGTGTAAATGCCTCAGACCTCTCGGTCTCCTCCCACCTTTCCAAGCCATATCCCCTTCATTGACTGTGCTCCAGGCACCACCTCCAGAGTAGACCTGGGGTGGGCCTCAGAACTCGCATTTCTAACGGGTTTCCAGGTGATTTCCGAGAACCACTGCCATAGCCAAGCCAGACAGGTGTGGCTTAACGGACCTCAGAATTCTCCCTTGGATATTTTTTTAAGTGCATCTTCCTTCACTTTGATTACTCTCCTTGGCTCCTACCAAAATCCCATCAAAATCTTACCCATCTATTAGAGCTTTTCTCAAGGCTACTCTTTTAAGGAAATGATTGCCGGTCACCTCAAATGGTTCCGAGCATACCCTGCTTTGACCACGGTCCTATTACCCCTATCCTCAGAGGTACTGTGTGCTGTAGCTATTTATTTTCTATCTTATTTTTCCCTTCTGGATGGTAAACTCTTTAAGAGGAACAAAATATAGCTCCTTCGGTGTTTGGCGGAAGAACAATTTTGAGATAAGAAATCCTACTCCTCATTGATTCTGTTCCGCATTTGGAGATGTTGGCAAGTGCGTCGAGCCACTCAGAGGGCACGGATTAGATTTTATTCATATTAGAATCCTCTGCATCACCCGACCAATTATTTGCCCACAGTAGGCCCATCATAAATATTTGGTGATTGAATAACAACCTTCCACACTCAAGATGTTGCAGGCCTGAGAAGTAAGAAGAAAGCGCTGCATAGTCTTCCTGCTTCTATTCTTGTAATCCTCTTATAAACCATGGGCCTTCTAGGAGAACAATTATTATTTTTAATGAACTGGTGTGTGGCATAGCTTAAACCTCTTTATTATCCTTCAGCACTTAGCTTTGAATAGGATTAATCAGCCAGGAAGATCTGAGGAGGGGCAGGGCAGGCTTCGTTCCCAGGTTATTGCTTTTCCAGTGAAAAGCACTTTGAAGAGGACAGTGGAGACTGATCTTTTATTTTAATTCAATATAATTATAACTTTGTTTTTTTTACACACATCACACACACACGTGCTCACACACTTCAGAAGTCTCATGGCTAACGATGGGGCTGTGTAAGTTATTCATTAGGAAGATTTGAGAAGCAGGGTCAAGCAATGGAGAAAAGGTATATATTTTTGAGGATTTATTTTTAGTATTTGATATAAAAATGTATGAGTAATACATGCTGATTATAAAGAATGAAAATAGGACAGAAGAAGATAGAGTCAAAAGTTAAAGTGCCCCCGGGGAAGTGTATTTATATAAAGTGACACAGGAGATATTTTGAAATTTTAATGCCCAAAAGTAAAGTAAATGATGTTCACCATATAGACGACAACTAGGCACAGTTTCACCACCCAGGATAATTAATGTGTGATTTTTCTGGTGTCCTCAAAATTATTAGCACTCCCATGCGTACTGGAGTTTCACAGATGGATTTCACTTTCACATTTGAGCATTTCTCAGTGGTTTCCAGCCTCAGCTCTCTCTTAAGCAGATGACTTTAGCCAAGCTGAGGGCAGAAAAAGCTAAGGAATGAGATCCTGTCTTGTCTCTTCCTCCCCTGCTCCCTCCCTTCCTCCTACCACCCACACATCCTTCCCTTTTGCAGCAGATACTCGTTGAGGGCTTACTATGCTGCCTCACTGAGGCATTGTGCCAGGTGTCAGGAATACAGTGGTGAGCAAAACAGACCTCCAGTACTTGTGTTTTGGGAGATTCAAATCAGGATACCAGAGTCCATGCAGTCTCTGGAGCAGACAGCCTGAGTTCAAATTCCAGATCAGTACTTACTATGCTATGTGCCCTCAGACAAGTTACTTGTGTCTCTGGCCTCAATTTCCTCATCTGTAAAATGGGAATGATAAAAGCATCTACCTCAAAGTTATTTAATATAGGGATTAAAATAAATAAAGATGTAAAGTGATTAAAACAGAGTGTAATATTTGGTAAGTGCTTGGCTGGGTGCGGTGGCTCACGCCTGTAATCCCAGCACTTTGGGGGGCCAAGGTGGGAGGATCACCTGAGGTCAGGAGTGCAAGACCAGCCTGGCCAACATGGCAAAACCCCGTCTCTACTAAAACTACAAAAATTAGCTGGGCATGGTGGTGGGGGCCTGTAATTCCGGCTAGTTGGGAGGCTGAGGCAGGAGAATCGCTTGAACTTGGGAGGCGGAGGTTGCGTGAGTCGAGATCGAGGTCGCACCATTGCACTTTAGCCTGGGCAATAGAGAGAGACTCCGTCTCAAAAAAAAAAAAAAATTGTGAGTGCTCAGTAAATGTTGTTATTTACAGTCAGGGTGTGGGCAGACATTTAACAAATAATAATAAATAACTAGGAAGTTCTAACTGAGATAAAGGAAAGATGATGCTCTGGAGAGTGTAACGGGGGTTCTAATGTAGACCGGGGGGTCAGGAAGGCGTGGTGTGCAGCTGGTGGTGGAAAGGAAGCCCCTGCGGCAGCGTCGGGGGAGGCGGGAGAGTGTGGCCGCTGAGCTGAGCTGAGCTGAGGCTGGAGTCCCAAGCAGGGGACAGACTAGGTGGGGCCTCAGGGCATCTAAGTTCACTTCATTCATTTTACAGATGAAGAAACTAAGGTCCAGAAAGATAATTGCTTTGTCCAGATCACAGGCTGGTGACAGAGCTAAGGCAAGACGCAGGTCTCCTTACTCCTGGTGCACTGGTGAGGAAACCTTTTAACCTCAAACTTTCATCATTTTCTGTCTCTATCAGATGCAAATCTAAATGTCCTTACACTTGTTCCTGGTAGGGTGCCCTCGTACCAACAGAGGGCAAATACACGCAAGTGTGCACATATATACTCCCCTCCCTCCTCCCTCCCTCCTCCCTTCTTGAGGGTGGTGGTGCTCAGGGTGTATGTTGGATGGTAGTGCGTAGTTGATTAGGGGAGAATTCAGGTTGCTTCTTTGTTTCCAGTTTTAAATAATCTGACCCATGTGTCTCTTTATTCATCCATCATACCTGTTCATATATCCACATATCTTTGGTTTTTTTTTTTTTGAGATGGCCTCTCTGTTGCCCAGGCTGGAGTGCAGTGGTGTAATCTTGGCTCACTGCAACCTCCGCCTCCCAGGTTCAAGTGATTCTTCTGCCTCAGCCTCCCAAGCAGCTGTGATTACAGGCATGCGCCACCATGCCCGGCCAATTCCTTTGGTATGTTTAAATAGAGATGGGGTTTCACCATGTTGGCCAGGCTTGGTCGCAAACTCCTGGCCTTAAGAAATCTGTCTGCTTCAGCCTCCCAAAGTGCTGGGATTACAGGAGTGAGCCACTGTGCCTGGCCCATGTATCCACATATCTACTCATCCATCTGTCCATCCATCCATCCATCCATCCATCCATCCACCCATCCACTTGTTCATTGATTTATTCATGCAATCCACAAATATTTATTGAAGGGCAGATATGTGTCACAAATTTGTGTTAGGTATTTTTGATGGTCAGCCAAACAAACCCGGCCTCTGCCCTCATGCAGTTTACAGTCTGTCAGCAGCAAATCGAAAGGAACATATCCTGTGTCTACACTTCCGTGCTATCATTGTGCGATGGGATTTTAAAAAATTCACGAGATTGTTCTAACACCCACAAGGAATGCACACTCTCGTTAATCCCACACGACTATTTCTTTAGTGGCTTATTTGTGTTTAATTTCCAAGATAGGGGCGGTGATATTCCCAAATCCCATTTCTCTCCTAAATCTCGTTTTCACAGATGCTCAGCAAAGGATGTAGGGCGACTACTGCAGCAGCACACAGCATTCAACCAGGAGTGGAATTTCATGAACTGCTCTTTATTTCCCTTCTGGTCTCTTGAGTCTGGTTCATCTTGTCTAGAGCTCTGATAATCTCCGAGACAAAATATTTAAATCTTCTGCAGCTCTAGGGACTTTGAGGAAGGAATATTGTGGCTAAAATCCTAAATATTTTGGAATATCATTAATGCAAGGGTTATACAGCAGATGCTGTCTGGCACAATCTCCATCCCAAGAGAATGTGTCAATATCTTTGTATATGGAAATGTACATGTATACTCATAAATTTCTCCAGCCTCCCAATTCTGTATCTCTTTCCCCTTTGAGACTGACTTTTACTTCCCTTCTTTAGCCCCTGCTTACTTTAATATACATTTTTTCTCTCTGTTTTCAGAAAGGGGTAAAAAATTGTTACCATAAATGATTGATAGAGGCCTGAATTTTTATTGTTATCTCTTCCGGAGTGGAAACCTGCCTTTTCATAGAGAACGCAGCTTTAATCCAAAGGATGGACTATCTAATTGTTGAATTTCAAATATAGGCAGGGCTGATTGAGGGTATAGGGTTTTTCAAACGTTCTTAAAATCACAATGTATGAGTAAAGGCATAATACTGATGGGACCACAGTACAGGACGTTTTCCAAAGGGCGTGAAAGTCATTGTGTGACCCCTGTTGATGCCTCTTTATTCTTGTTTTGTAGAAAAAGTAACTGATTTCTTAAAAAGCATATTAAGCCCACACCCTGTGCCCAGTATTTCTTTAGAACAACCCTAAAAAGGAGACAGGATTATCTTCACTTTACACCCAAGACAGCTGAAGACGACAGCAGCTAAGAGGCTTGCTCAAGGCCACACAGTTAAGAATTAGAGTTGAGCCTCAGAGCTGGCTCTTGGGTCTGGACCACCTCCCTGGGTTAAATACAGTCCTGTCTCAGTACACACACTGCCTCGCCTCCTGATTTTTAAGGTATTACAAGTTAAACACGCAACAAATAGTCTAGATCAGTTTCATTTTGAAATAACATAGCAGTTATAATGTGGATGATATTATGCTTGAAATAAAATAATCCTGATCATGGAGCAAGCACAGTGACCTGCCTTAACAGTTAGATGTTAGTAGAGAGGACACAGAGATCATTTAAATGCTAGTAAGGGCTTGTGACTGCGTTCTGAATGCTTAGTATTTTTAGATTCCTCCAATCGCTTCTAACCTTCAGCCCTGCCATGGTTTTTTCTGTGACCACTGGAATTCTAAATTCAGAAAGGTTGTTAGCCACCTGGATAATTGCACCTTTGTAACTTTTAAGACAACAACCTAGAGGCAGAGGATAACTACAATAAATGACTTGTAATTTCAGGTCTTAGATCTCTGCTTTCACATAAAACCAGCTTTCCACTTCCTTAGGTTCACCACCTGAAGAAATCAAAGCTAAGCATTACCAGAAGTCATTATCTACTATTTAAAGCCTGTTCTAAGCGGGAGACAAGCCCCCTTTTTAGGAGGCGTGGGGGCGGGGGGAAGGGGATCCATTTCTCATTTTGCCATGTTTCTGCAGGAATGTTTTTAATAGGGATCCTTTTTACCCCCAGCTACTCTGCAGCACAGGAGTACGACTGTATTTGAGGAGGCAGCTTGACTTCATGCTCCAGGGAGAAGTCTTTTATTTCCTGTTGGGGTTTTAAAGTTGCCCTTGCTTAGGTCGTTGCTGTTTTATAAGTCAGCCTGAATATTTAAAGGCAGGAGGCCTGTTGGTCTATGTTATGTTGGCCTTGGGGCATTAGAATGACAGAGCAGCTTTATTTAGGATTGCGAGGCAGGCCATATGTACTCAATTATCCCATTTTCGAGGACTTGGCCATTTGTACCACATCTCCCTGCAAGCCCTTTCATGAGAGCCACTATTATTATTCACATTCAGTAAGACCTGAGAAATATTATTAGCCAGGAAAGCTCTCATTTACCTCGCCATCTCTCGCAACGTTACTCACTGCCCTCACTGCAGAGCACTCCTTGTGTACCCTCTACCTTAACTAAGTTTGTCCCAAGAAAATGATGAGAAATTCTTTTACGCTGGCATACACAGACTAATCAGGTTTAGTGGGAAGAGCGTGGCCTCTCAAGTGTGGCAGATCTAGGTTCACATCCTGATCTACCGGTCTGAGCTTGGAAAACATTACTTCATTTTTCTGAACCTCAGTTTCTCTGTTTGAAAATGGGTTGAAGTGGCCGGGCGCAGTGGCTCACGCCTATAATCCCAGCACTTTGGGGGGCCAAGGCGGGAGGATTCTTTGAGGCCAGGAGTTCGAGACCAACCTGGCCAACATGGTGAAACCGCGTCTTTACTAAAAATACAAAAAATTAGCCGGACGTGGTGGCGGGCGCCTGTAGTCCCAGCTACTCAGGAGGCTGAGGCAGGAGAATGCCGTGAACCCGGGAGGCGGAGCTTGCAGTGAGCTGAGATCGCGCTGCTGCACTCCAGCCTGGGTGACAGAGCGAGACTCCATCTCAAAAAAAAAAAAAAAAAAAAATACACACAAAAACAGCCGGGCATGGTGGCGCATACCTATAACCCCAGCTACTCAGGAGGCTGAGGCATGAGAATCACTTGCACCCAGGAGGCAGAGGTTGCAGTGAGCCGAGATCCCACTACTGCACTCCAGCCTGGGTGACTAGAGCAAGACTCTGTCTCAAAAAAAACAAAACAAAACAAAAACAAAAAAGGCCGGGCGCGGTGGCTCATGCCTGTAATCCCAGCACTTTGGGAGGCCGAGGAGGGTGGATCATGAGGTCAGGAGTTTGAGACCAGCCTGGACAACATTTTTAGTCTCTACTAAAAATACAAAAATTAGCCAGGCATGGTGGTGTGCGCCTATAGTCCCATCTACTTGGGAGGCTGAGGCAGGAGAATAGCTTGAACCTGGGAGGCAGAGGTTTCAGTGAGCCGAGACTGTGTCATTGCACTCCAGCCTGGGTGACAGAGCGCGACTCTGTCTCAAAAAAAAAAAAAGAAAATGAGTTAAAGTTACAAGGAAGCTGATTTTGGCATCCATAAGAAAAATGGGCACAACGATCGTTGCTTTTTGCGTGGATTGCCACAAGAATGTTTTTGGATTCACAGATGTTTAATACTACACATCACTTTCTCCTTCTCCTACTTTTCCCATAGGTTTTCATTCAACAGATATCTGTTGATTATCTTGTGGTGTTTCAAGATGTGTCCATCTGCATTTTAGCTGGGCATATGCCCAAACAGCATAGATTTCAAGCTGTCACAACCCACCATGGGACAGATACTTCTTAAAGTGTGTGTGGGTTGCGTTACTGGGACCCCCAATTGCCACACCGCTAGCATTTGTCCACTTGTAAAGATTTTCTTACTTGTCTTCCTTGTTGAATCAGGAAGTGGACTTTTACATGGTGCATGCAGTTTTTGATGCGCTTCCTCTCCCTGCTCCCTGGAGGTGCCGCATGAAAGCGCTTTTCCCTGGACGTTCAGTTCCCTCTCCACTCCTTGTCTCTGTGCATCCTGCATCTTGGCATCTCCCCCCGTGACATTTATTCCTGTGAATCTGAAAACTTCCTGTATGTTTTGTGGCTACATTCGTATTCCAGTTGCTAGAGCAGAGGGGAGCGGGTGCTGCCACGTGAACTTTGGTGTTGAAAGAGCTTCAGGATAAAGTTTTCAGAGGACCTGCTATCAACCAAAGCTACTTGAATATAATTAGGAACTAGGTCCAGTTCCTAATCATACTCCAGAGGAGGATAAATCCATAGGCTGTCCCCAAGCCAGTTAGCTCTGAGTCAGCAATGAGCTTACATCTTCACACGCAGATGCTGTAGGTTTACTTCATATGTCCTTCTGCAGTCATTGTCCTGCACGGCTCAGGTGGCAGTGACATACTGGCTAGGGACATGGAGAGGAGCTCTCACAAGGGATCTGGAAGGTACATCAGGCCTAGGAGAGAGGAACAAATGAAAACGGCACTGGGGCTTCATGGATGGTAATAATTCATACAGGAGACTTTCCAGTTAGAGCACTAAGTATCAACACTATTTGGAGCATCACTCCAAACTGTACTCATTTCAAACTATAATGAAATGCGTCTTCTCTGTTGTAAGATCTCTCTTTTTTTTTTTTTGAGATGGAGTCTTGCTCTGCCACCCAGGCTGGCATGCAGTGGTGCGATCTCGGCTCACCGCAACATCCATCTCCCAGGTTCAAGCAATTCTCCTACCTTAGCCTCCTGAGTAGCTGGGATTACAAGCGCCCGCCACCATGCCCAGCTAATTTTTGTATTTTTAGTAGAGGCGGGGTTTCGCCATGTTGGCCAGGCTGGTCTCGAGCTCCTGACCTCAGGTGATCCACCTGCCTTGGCCTCCTAAAGTGCTGGGATTACAGGCGTGAGCCACCACGCCTGGCTGTTGTAAGGATCTCTTAAATTTCTCTTATGGCTTCGTCTCAACCACAGAGCAAATAATCCCCTTAAAAATCTTAAGTTTTTAGTTTTTCCAGGGCTTTATTTTGTGTGATTTTTTTTTTCTTTAAGAGATGAGGTCTCACTCTGTCACGCAGGCTGGAGTGCGGTGGCAGAATCATAGCTCACTGCAGCGTCGAACTCCTCAGCTCAAGTGATCCTCCCACCTCAGCCTCCCAAGTAGCTGGGACCTCAGATGCACACCACCATTCCTGGCTAATTTTTAACAATTTCTTTTTGTAGAAATGGAGTCTTGCTATGTTGCCCAGGCTGGTCTTGAACTCCTGCCTTTGAGTGATCTTGCTGCCTTGGACTCCCAAAGTGTTGGGATGACTGGAGAGAGCCACTGTGCTGGGCCTTGTTTCTTAATTGTTCATTTAACAGGCCTGGTTGGGGTGTGAAATGGAGTCCATGTGTGTATTTTGCATCCTCTGTAAATATGGCCGTAGAGTACATTCTAAACACAGCCTTTCTGATCCACTGGCTTTTGTGCATACCAGGGTATGACATCGTGTTAAAAAGACCGTTAGTGTAGTGTATTGTTTTTGTAAATGCAGTTTATTCTAAGCACACTATATGCTGGAATTATTTCTAGAGTTCATAGTGGTATTATCATTAAGGTGTATGGAAAGTATACTAATTCCTATTCTATAGGCAAAAACAACTGGAGCACAGCAATACTACTGCCTTATTGAATCTTATAAGAATATAGGGGGAATAATACTTGAAGTGTACAATAATAATAATAATATGCTCAACCAGCAACACTAATTACCATAAGAAAGATGTGGTTGAGAACTACATTTCCACAATAATTACACAATTGCTACACTCACTTGGCAACCTTATGGTATGGCTGGTATGCTAGCAACCAAATCTTCCTGTGTAAAACTACTTCCATGATGTTCCTGCCACAGGATTTCGTGCTGGGCTGACAGAACAGAACAGTTTCCTGAGGAACGTTTTCTTTTTCTTTCTTTTCTTTTCTTTTTTTTTTTTTTTAGACATAGGGTCTCGTTCTGTTGCCTAGGCTGGAGTGCAGTGGCAGGATTATGGCTCACTGAACACCTTCTGGGCTCAAGTGACCCTCCTGACTCAGCACTCTCCCCCACCCCCACCCACACCCCCACCCCCACCAAGTAGCTGGGACTACAGGTGCCCACATCTGGCTAATTTAAAAAACTTTTTTTTAAAGAGATGGGGTCTTGTTATGTTGCCCAGGGTGGTCTGGAACTCCTGGCCTCAAGCAATCCTCCCACCTCACCCTCCCAAAGTGCAGGAATTATAGGAGTGAGTCACTGAGCCCAGCCCCCAAGGAGACTTTTCTGATTGCTGGTCTTTGCCATCCTCAGAGAACCAGGCGGGGCACCCAGGGTCCCTCTTTGTTGACTCATACCTTGGGTTCTCTTATATTTACTCAAACATAATGTCCTGAAGTTATCAGTAGTCCCTTCTTATTCTCCAGCTCCCTGTAAAGGCTTAAAGCATAACTCTGGGAAAATGTTTTGCTTGGGTGGGCAGAAATGGTATATTTGGGTACAGATGTGGGATGTGAAGCCTCAGCTGTCACTGCACCTGCACCCAGAGTGGTCCCCACTTCTTCCACTCTTTGCATCTGTCCTGGGCACCCTCCTTTATCTTTGCACAAAGGATTAAGCATTTCATGTGATATGCCTTAAATTGATTTTCCTTATGAGTAGGGAAAGGGAGTGGGGATAGAAGACAATTGTTTAATCCAATAATCATGCAAGAATGTGTTCTTGACATTAAGAGAACAACTGTAGTCTGTGGAGTAGCCTAAGACACAGTTGCACATAGCTATGCAGGCAGTTATTGATCTGAAGAATGAACCGTCATGGCTGCTTTGAGGAATAAGATGCATCACTATTGAAGGAGGCCGGGAGAATACTGGAGAGTGGTCTCCAACCCTGGATCTTGATGCTGCTGTTTACTGCAGCCATGCAAAGGAATGTGTGCTTCAGGTCTGAGTGTTCAAGGCAGGACCAGCAAATTTCCATGAACTCTCTGACCGTAGGCCACCTCTGTTCCATTTTGCTTCTTTGCTCCTAAAAAAATTAAATATCTTAAGTTAGTTTATAAAACATTATACTTTAAACAGGAAGTGAAAATGTTTTTCTGTTTTTAAAAGTAATATATGCCATTGTAGAGAATGTGGAAAATACAGAAAGATTCAGAGATCACAGAATTAAGAATCCAAATGATTTTGACCAGCTGGAATGATCAAGTCTGAATTAGCATGATGATATTTAAATGGGATGTGTTTTGCTTTGACGATTTCGGCTTAGGGTCCTCGGAGAGAGAAGCCTGTGTCCCTTAAGCCTAGCAAGGTACTTGGCAGAGAAGGGCAGAGTGGGGCATTCCTGAATGAACAAATGGATGAATAAATAGAATAGGATGCATGGAATTAAGGCAGGACTCCCTGTGTTGGAAGCAAAGCTAGGAGTCACAAGGAGAACGAGCACTCAAAAAAGAGATTTCTCAGCAAGGCAAATTTACTTCTGCAGAAGGGTGCTTCTCACAGGACTGGTTGCCACGAGAGCACACCGAACACAGGAGGGAAAGGGTTTTTTTCATTCCTAACGCAGCTTGTCCTTACTGCTGTGTCCTGCCTCCATTGGCTGGAGTTGGACCGCACAATCTAAACTGAACCCGATTGGCTAACTTGAAAGACAACTTTGGCGGGAAGAGCTGCCACAGCAGGAGGGGTAAATTACAGAGTGAGTAGCAGACGTGGGCTCTGTAGATAAGGACTTACAAGGGACTTACAGTCCGGTGAAGAACTAAACAGCAATGGCATCTAATAAATACCCAAGGATGAGCAGTTGGTTTCATCTTCATACTCCCTAAGGACCGGTGGGAGAGTTGTTTACTGGACCCGGAAGAAACATGATAGAATTTCTGGGGCATTCACTTTGGAGGAAACCATGGGATGGTCTACATTGAAGGCCTGAGGAACTTTTCCCTCCTCCGTGCTAAGTTGGTAGTTTCCACTTTCCACCACCCACTTCCCACAGCTCCCCCCAAACACACGTACACATCGTTTTTCACACCATCATCCTTTTTGGTAAAGAGATGTGTCCATTTCTGTCCTGCATTAGTGAGTTCCTTACCAGGTGCAAACACTGTTAGATGTCCTGAAAAATGTATCTCATAAAAGAGCTGTAGCAGGAGGGAGTATCAGAGAAGAGAGTAGCTTTCCTTTTGCTGTCTGGCTGCAAAACCATCTGGAAGCCCCCGCGGAGGTGGGCTGTGTGCCCGAGCCCTACCTTGGAGAGACACTTGGTTCCCTTTTCCAGCAGATTTCTTTTCCTGACAGATAATTCTCTGTTAATCGAGGGCTCCTCAAATCCGAATCTGAGCTTCCTCTTCTATTCTCACCTCTGTGCCAGGGAAATTTTCTTGGCAATTGAAACCAAAGCGATAGGCTGGCAGTGGGACTCTACTTGGCTGGGGGTAAAATAAGCAATGATTGCACATAATTGCAGAAAACAATTTTGAATTTTATTAATGAGGTGCTCCAAACAACATCTTTTAGTCCATTGTCCCACTTAACAGCCAATTCACCGGAGTTCATTGTGCTGTAATTTACATCTATCTTCCCCCATTGATAACACCAGGCCCTTGTGTTCTGTAATTGACACAAGTTGGTCATTTTCAGGGGTGTTTCTCTCTCTAAGGACATAAAATAAACAGGCTTGCTGGCGAGTGGGATTGAGTTAGCCTCATCCACAGAGCCAATTGGCTGCTGCTGCTTGACGCTCATTTTCCTTCCTCAGGAGAGGTGGCACAGCCGTGGGTACGTGCACAGAAAGTCCTCAGGTTAAAGATGTTGAGGTGGAGGCCTGGGGAGGCAAGCGGATGTCGATAGTGAGAAAACGAGACTTCTTTGCCTTTCCTTTGCTTCTTGCCACCCAGGACCCAACATCTCCAGGTGGAGCTGATTTTTAGTGTGCGCAGCCAGGCTTTGGGGGCAGTAGAGGTAAGATTCAGGGGAGGGTTTCCAGGAGGGGATATAGGCCACCACCTCCTTCAGCATCTCATCTCAAAATGTAGCATGTGTGAGTCGCCACTATAGGTCCCAGTGAGCTCAGCTAGCCCAGCTCCTACCTTCTTTGTGTGTTTACAGCAAAAACGCTGTCACTGCTTTCATGTGTCTGTTTAAACACTGTGTGGCCATCGGCTCTGTGTTGGGCACTTAGGGAGTATGAAGATGAAACCAACTGCTCATCCTTGGGTATTTATTAGATGCCATTGCTATTTAGTTCTTCGCCAGACTGTAAGTCCCTTGAGGTCAAGGATCTCGTCTCCTCTGTTCTTAGTATCCTCTATAGAACCGATAACAGAGTGGACACTTAGAAAAACATTAACAGGCCAGGCGCAGTGGCTCACGCTTGTAATCCCAGCACTTTTGGAGGCTGAGACGGGTGGATCATCTGAGGTCAGGAGTTTGAGACCAGCCTGGCTAACATGGTGAAACCCCATTTCTACTAAAAATACAAAAAATTAGTTGGGCATGGTGGTGTACACCTATAATCCCAGCTACTCAGGAGGCTGAGGCAGGAGAATCGCTTGAACCCGGGAGGCGGAGGTTGCAGTGAGCTGAGATCATGCCACTGCACTCCAGCCTGGCTGACAGAGTGAGACTACATCTAAAAAAAATAAAACAAGAAAAAAAATAAAAAAAGAAAACATTAACAAATGGATGAATCAAATGGAGAAGAAGAGACAAGTACAGAAACACGTGTAGAAGTGGAAAAGAAAAAACAAAAACATAAAGGGAGCTCTAAAAGGTTACAGAAAGAGCTGTGGGACATAGAGAGAGGTGTTTCTTTTCCCTGGGGTGAGCCGGGAAGCCTTCATGGAAAGGCTGGCCTGGAGCATGAGAGATTCTCATCGGTGGACGGTGGAGGTTGAGCATTTCAGGGGTAAATTCCGAGAACATTGTACACACATAAGAAATAATGCAAGGTGCCTATGGCTTTGACTTGAGCATTTGGTATGTGCAAGGAAGTGACTGGAGATCAAAAGGGAAATGCAGATTGGAAACAGGGCCTGGGGGTCTTGTGGCAGCTTGTGGGTGGCCATGCTTTCCCTGGGCACTGCCCGACCCAGGGGACTCAGCTGCGGGTGGCACGCTCGGCGTGCAAGGCATTTGCTTACTGGAAACTACACCCGTAAGAAGATACTGGGGTCTTGGGAAGGAAGGTGACTGTTAACCTGTGGGGGTCAGCTTACAGTGTGAGTGTTGGCCAGAATGATCAAGCTCTCCAGCCTTAGCCCAGATCAAAATCCAGAGGCCAGGAAGGATGTAAGCCTAGCTCTGTGCCATGCAGCTGGTTGGAACAGAGGTGCAGATACAGGCTCCACCCCTCTGGGACCATCAGCTCCCAGGGTGTCTGCAGCCTCACAGCATGACTCTCTCCCAGTCAGCCCACCCCCAAGGCCCCGCAGCTGCAGCTTCTGCTGTGCTTTCATTCCAGGGATGGGCAGGGTGACATCAGGCCACCCGCAGCCTCTGGCCTCAGCCTCTCTGCCTAGGTGGCACCATGGGCTCCAACCAGCCGGGGCAGCTGCTGGGACCACCCCGCACAGGCCCACTCTGCAGTGAGGGAAGGACCGACAGGCTTGCGGCTGCTGGATTACTCAGTATTTTTCACTTTAATATCCTAATCCTGAAGTTGTTCTGCGATGTGGTGTTCTGGTGGTAAATATAATCTTTTGGCAGAGTTTTTGAACTGTCTGGAACCCAATATCCTAAGCTTTTTTTTTTTTTTTTTACTGTATTTGGATTATATTGTGGGATTTTTTTCCCCAAGGAGGAAAAAACGTATTTTAAAATACAACATGAAGTGAGTGAAAAAATTTGTTTAATGCAAATAAAAGAATTGAAGCTGGAGGGTGAGTGTTTCCAGAGGAGGCCATCACCGTAGGAGGAGAAGCTGGACTCAGAGCCAGGGAGTCCCAGAGCCTGTGGTAGGCCCTGTCCTTGTGTGGGGAGATCAGCCAGTTCCAAGTGCAGGGACCAAGGACATTCCCAAGCCCGTCCTCAGCCAGCTAGTCCTGCAGGGCTGTTCGGAGCATCCAGGTCTTCTGTCATTTTTTCTTCCCCAGACAAACCTCCTAGACATAGGAAGCCCTTTCAGAAGACACATTTGCCTCTCCACAGCTCCACCCATTATCCTTTACCACTGGCGATGTTCTGTTCTTCTTGGGACACCACAGCGTTATTTGTCTTTCCAGACCAAAAATATATCCCTCAGGAGTATGGCGGTTTTTAAGCTCACACCAAGGGAATGCTTGTATAGGCCTTGTGTCTTCTTGTGATGTTTCCCAGCGATGGGCCTGAACGGGAGAGACTAGCCAACTGTTGCTGAACGCGATATTCTTTTGTGAATAAAAAGGCCCTGATTCCAGCCAAACCGGGATCTGGTTTGGCTGGGTGTGGGACGGGAGCAGTCACCGCAAGATCCCCAGACATGTGTCTGAGCCCCTGTGTGGCCTGAGGCTCTCCCAGTTAGTCATGGCAGTAGAAAGTCTCTCCCTGCTCGAGATGCAAAAGACTCACCATCCAAAGAGTTGGGCCATCCCCTGCCCGCTGTGACTGTCTAGCTGTCTGCCCCTTGACAGGGCCCAAAATGATCCAGTGCTGGAGGCCGGCTTTGCAAACCCAAGGCAGGGTCTCACTGTGTTGCCCAGGCTGGAGTGCGGTGGCCCAATCAGCTCACTGTAACCTTGAACTCCTAGACTCAAGCAATCCTCCTGCCTCAGCCTCTCAAGGAGCTGGGATTACAGGCATGCACCACTAAGCCTGACTCATTTCTTTACTTTTTGTAGAGATGGGGTCTTGCTGTGTTGCCCAGGCTGGTCCTCAATTCCTGGCCTCAAGTGATCCTCCTGCCTCAGCCTCTAAGAGCTCTGGGATTAGAGATGTGAGCCACTGTGCCTGGCCTCATGATAACTTTTTATAAAGAAAAAAATTTAAATCCTCTGTTTCTTCTCTTCCTCATCTTCCCTTACTTTACCCACAAACAGGGGAAGAACTTTCTAGCAGGAACCATTTAGTTCTGTCTTGGGAGCACTTGTTTCCTTCTCAGTTTCTTAGAAAGTGCAGAGTCTGCTTGCTGGCACCGCACCGTATCAAATGCTTGTGATTTCCATTCGGCCTGCACCCACGGCAGTGGGCTCTGCCCGACTGCTCCTCAGCGGGGGCCTGGGAGGGGGCTGAAAAGCCTGGGGCTGGTGGGAAGTGGTACTCCCTCCAGCATGGCGGTTTGGAGTCTTGAGGAAGGGTCCCCCCTTAGCCGTGGCCCAGGGACACTGCCCCTCCCCACCCCCAGACCCTTCCCGACAACACTGCCTGCTTGGGATGCTCTAGGCAGAAGTGGGCGGTGGGGCTGGCCTCCATTTCAGTGCTTGGTAATTTTACGGTTGGGGTCTCCGTCTTAGAAGCAATTTCCCATAATTCCACTTGGGAGAGAAGTGTCTTTATTGCTCATCCCCATTTTAAAGGTGGGTAATTGGGGGCCTCAAGAGATTAGGAGTCTTGCTCATGATAAAACAGGAAGTGGTGGGTCTGCGATTTGGAATTCTGCGTTCCTGCAGGACACCCTGCCGCCCGTGCCACCTGTTCTCTCCCACGTGATGGGCGCAAACCCCTGAGAGGTCCCTTTTCAGCTCTTGCTCCATTCTCAGCTGTTGTGTTTCCCTCTCCAGATCCCCCACATTGACACAAGAGATGTGATGCCTCCGGGCAGTTAAGGGTGAAAAGCGAATGCAGGTTTTCTCTCTCCTCTTTGCCCCCAATCCTACGGGTGAATGAGGCTTGCATCTCTCTTTTGCTACCATCGAGAGCAGCAGCTCAGTCAGCTAACTTCCGTTTGCCTGCCGGCATGAGTTCAGCGAGTTTCCCCTTGGTTTTAGAGCCAAAGCCTGAGCACTTGGTGTAACTTTGCGTGCTGTCGCCCTGAGAGGCGGCACCGTCGGGCCCCGAGTCAGCCGTGTGCTCGAACCGCCCCACTTTACCATTCCTGTTCCTCACCGGTCACTCTTTAGTAGAGTCCCGTCCACTTAAGGAGCACTTCATACCCATGAATTGAGTAAAATTATTTTACAGCATATGGCATTTTTCATGACTATAATTACAAAGGATTCTAGACGTCATTGATGGGGGTTCTCCCTGGCGCTAACACTGAGTGAGAAGTTGACCCAGTTAGATTAAAGCTCAAGTTAATAAACAGCATTCACACATTTCTAGGCCTGTTGACCAATATCCTTTAAATCAGTGTGGCTTTCCAAGGGGGGAGCAAATAAAACCCTAAGGTAGCCAGAGTGCTGTTTTTTCCAATTAACCTTGTTCGTTTTGATTTCCTTTCGGTTCAGAACAATTTAGGTCAATCTTAGATTTTTAAGAATGAACCTCTGGAGGGAGAGGAAATTAACTAGGCCCTAAGGGGGCTTGGTTACCACAATTAACCCCAAAAGACAGACTCTCAGGCTGGTGGGGGGCCTGGAGAGGGGCCACATGACCACTTCAGGCCATCTGCTCACATGGAGACCCTGGTGGGAGTGTCCTCTTTTCTTTCCTGCTGGCTGGTTAAATAAACTCTGCAGGCTACCACGCTGACGAAGGGTCTGCCCATTTCTCATGCTCCTTCTGTCTTTTAGCCAAAGCTGTGTTCCCTCTCTTTCTGAGAAGAGGGATCAGCAAACCCTTAACTCCCAGAGATCGCTGGTGGAGTTCAGGGATGGAAGTGCCTGATCCAGGCAGACCTAAAGCAGAGGTAATGGAAGAGAGATGGGAGGACAGAGAAGAAAAGAAGGGCGTGGGGCAGGAAGGCAGGGCCAGACTCCTTTCTGTGTTAGGAGCAGAGCCTTCCTTCACCGGAGCCTGGGCAGTCAATCACCCTGAGAGCGCTGGGAGCCTTTCATCATCATCAGAAGGCGTTGTGCGTGGTGTGGATGCACACGTGACCGTGTGCCGCACCTTTGTTCTGCCCGTTCCTTACTCCTTATTTAGGTGATGAAAGATGTGGTGCCCCAACTTTAAGTTCCACTTGACGCAGAATTTCCTGATTGAGGATGGAGCCTGGGGCTACCTTGAGGTAATTACGGGATAGTCGTTGTACCTGGAACGTACATTTTTCTAAAGTTGCCACACAGTAAGACTCCCACAGTTCTGTCCACACCCCTTCCCATGACATTATTGTTTCTTCAAAAGGGACCAGCCGCTGAGATTTTGTTAGCAGGGAAATCTGTTTCACAGGAAGGAGGGATGTGTAGATGGGACCTAAACATCGAAGTTTATAATTTGGTGAAAACCTGATAAATGGGAAGACCATTTGAAATAGATGTTTCAGTGGCTGGGAGTCCCAGATACCCTTGAATTTAACACTGCTCATTACATACCTCAGTGACCAGAAATTGGAGACCAGCCTGGGCAACATCGCAAGACCCCATCTCTACAAAAAGTAAAAAAAAAAAGAGTCAGGCTTAGTGGTGTGTGCCTGTAATCCCAGCTCCCTGGGAGGTTGAGGTGGAAGGATTGCTTGAGCCCAGGAGTTCAAGGTGACAGTAAGCTGATTGGGCCACTGCACTCCAGCCTGGGCAACACTGTGAGATCCTGCCTCTAAAAACATTTTTTTAATATCATCATAAACTCTGTCAGAAATACAAAGGAGCATAAAGAATGTAACAAACAATCTGTATCCACAATCTGGCCTAATAAATAACACATTACCATCCCATTTGAAGGCTTTTTGCCAGACAGAGGGCAAGTCCTTGAGCGGGCGTCCAGTGCAGGTGTGCTGAAGAGCCCAGCCTCAAGCCTAAAATGGGATAGTACAGGACATGAACATGTGAGGCAAGTGGATCACCTGAGGTCAGGAGTTTGAGACCAGCCTGGGCAACATGGTGAAACCCCGTCTCTAGTAAAAATACAAAAAATTAGCTGGGCTTGGTGGTGCGCACCTGTAATCCCAACTAGTTGGGAGGCTGAGGCAGGAGAATCGCTTGAACCCAGGAGGTGGAGGTTGCAGTGAGCCGAGATTGTGCTGTTGCACTCCAGCCTGGGTTACAAGAGCAAAACTCCGTCTGAAAAATAAATAAGTAAATAAATAACGACATAGAAGACAGAATATGGTAGGCGGTAAAAGGGAAATGCTGAGCAGCAGAATGAGAGTAGTCAGAGTTAAGAAGAGGGAGGCATCTTGGGAGATCGGCTGAATGAGGGCAAACTTGATGAAGGAGGTGGCATGTCAGTTGGGCCACGGAGAACGGGTAGGATTATCTACTTTGTTCTGCATACATCTCCCTAACCCTTCCCTTAAGCTTCTCTTCCAAAGTTTCTCTGGGAAGTTTCTCTTTCCCTTCCCAGACTAAAGCTCTTTCCCTGCTGTTTGTCCTCTCTTGCTTGGCTCAGGCTATGATGGAAAACGTCCTCAGGCTGGGTTTCTGGGTGCCAGATGGCAGCCACCATGGGAGGAAGGGTGGCCGAGTACTCTCAGGGCCCGGCTCCTTGGTGACCAGCCAGGTGCCCTCCAGCCAGCGGCCCCAGCATGACACGGTCCAGGTAACCTCCCTTCACCGTGCTATTGGGAGGGTGTTTTCCAGGACTGGTGTGAAGTAGATTCAGTTCCCGAGAAGGACAGAGCTGCCTGATGCGTGAACAGGCCTCTCTGAGACCAGGGAGGCCACAGCTCTGAGACATGAAGCAGATGCTGCTCCTCAGGGCCTGTGGAGAGAGAACTCTACCCTCTTCCATTTCTGAAAGCCAGTGGAGGCTTCTCCTCCTCTGGAGGATTCATTTCATTTGTTAGTTAACGCATCCATTCCTTCAACATAGATTCATTCCATGTCAGCTCTGCCCCAGGCCTTATGCTGGGCTCGGGGTGTGGAAAATGGAATCGAAGCTGGTCTCTGCTCCTGAGAGGCTTACAGCCCCTTTTAGGGTATGTGCTGGATCTGGAAAGCTGGGATAGAAGAAATTGGGTGACTGTGTATTGTCTTTGTGCTTTTGTGTTTTTTTAGAGGCTTCTATGATCAGAATATTTTTGGACTAATGATGTGAGTTCCTTAGATAATTTGAAAATGTGCCCCTATATTCTCTACTGTTTAGAGTGGTATAATGTTGGCATGACCTCATCTTCCTTTCAAGATTACATATTAAAAGAAAATTTGACTTTATATTAAACGAAGTCAAAGCTGGGTTCAGTGGTGAGCACCTGTTGTCCCAGCTGCTAGGGAGGCTCAGGCAGAAGGATCACTTGAGCCCAGGAGTTCGAGTCCAGCCTGGGCAACATAATGAGACCTTGTCTCTAAAAAAAAAATTAATTAATTAAAAAATAAATAAGTAATAGGAATCAGACCCCAGCATCATAGTTGTGCATATTACCTGTTATTTCTTTAAGAGATATCCCTTCTCCTTGAGTTCCATTTTTATGGGAATTACTTGCTTTAAAAAAAAAAAACACACACACACAAAAACTTCAAAGATACAGCATTGACATGACGATAAACTTCCATTTCTTTAAATAAGCTCCTTGCAACATCTGATGTATCTGTAACAAAAAGAAGGGCAGGAGAAGGAGCTTGCATTTATGTTTATGAACAGGGTAAACTCAGAGACTTGCAACCTTTACCCCGCCCTCCCCCACCCCACCCTCAAGAAGTCCCGAAGAACAAAAGGCAATTCAGATGGCAGAATATTACTTCTGTTGCTGTAGCACCAAACTATTAAAAATAAAACTGTCCCTCAAGGCAAAACATTTCATTTATTTTCCTTTGAATGAGTAACTTGTTTATTAAGATGAACTAAGTGGCTAAATCTAGATGGTACGCAGGCAAGAAAAATTGATGTATTGTAGCCTTTCGGAAAGTATGCTTTATGTTCCCTGGAATCATCTCTGGGTTTTAAATGAAGAAGAGCTCGTTTAGTCAGATGGGGAGCTGCTCTCCCTGGAAATAGGCATCACCCGGCTCTGCAATGTGGAATGTCATATTTGACCTTGGTTCTTTCGCAAATTGGTTCTTTCTGGGCTAAATCAGTGTGTTGAAAGAGTTAGCTAGGTTTAGTGATCTTCAAAGGAGGACCACGTTCCTGCCTCAACTGCGTCTGCAGTTTTTTGAAGTGTTTAATATAAAATCGTTTCACTTTTGCCTTATTTCATATTTGAGATCACTGTGCTACTGCATCTGTTAGAGAGGCAACACAGAGCACAGGGAGCCAACTGCAGTCCCTGGAGCTTCTGAGAGAGCTCCCTTTGTTGCTTCCTGACCCAGCCTCAGAGGCATCCCGCCCACAGGGAAGGATATTTGTCTCAGCAGGGAGGTTCCCCATTACTGTCTCCTCATCTGGGGACACAAATGTGATGTCCAATTCCCCTCTGATTGAGGTCTCATTTGCCCTAAACTAATGCAACTTGAAAGGAGAAAAGGGTGTCAATGGTTAAAACAACAACAATGACAAGAACAACAAAAACCTCCACCCAATTTAGCAGTGAAACAGGAAACGCCGTATTGAGGAGAGAAGCTTTTAGTTGGAAAAAAAATTTCTCTTTAGAATTTGGACAACAAATGACTCTCACTCTCTTTTCTGGTGGTGATTGTTTTATTTGTTAATTTTTTTTTTTTTTTTTTTGAGACGGAGTCTCGCTCTGTTTCCCACGCTGGAGTGCAATGGCACAATCTCGGCCCGCTGCAACCTCCGCTGCTGGGGTTCAAGCGATTCTCCTGCCTCAGCCTCCCTAGTAGCTGGCATTACAGGTGCCCATCACCACGCCCAGCTATTTTTTTTTGTATTTTTAATAGAGACGGGGATTTTTACCACATTGGCCAGGCTGGTCTCGAACTCCTGACCTCAGGTGATCTGCTCGCCTCAGCCTCCCAAAGTGCTAGGACTATAGGCATGAGCCACTGCGCCCGGTCGATTGTTTTATTTTAATATCACGACACACATATTATTCCTGATTTGTAATCTCACGATACCCGCCTTGCTCGCCAAGAGTCCTGAGTGCTGGCCTGGTAAAGATGATTATCTCCATCTTTCAGACGAGGAAACCAAAGTTCAGAGCACAGGTCCGCAGAACAGTCACAGCTGCCAGCAGTTGCACACCCACATGCGCCATCCCATTTGATCATCACCAACCTGCCGGTTAGGTTTTCTTGTCACCCGAATTTTACAAAAGTGGAACAGAAGCACCGAGAGAATAAATGAGCTGCCTGAGATTCATCAACTGCTGGTGGAACTGGGCTTAGTCCTGCATTCTTTCCAAAGCCCCCATGCGGTGACTCAGTATTTGGCCATTTTTCTTTATCCTTTTTGCCTGGTGACTCTGAAGAGAGCCCACCTACAGTCCAGCATGTCTGGATCCTGTGCAGCGGGCAGAGGCCAGAGGCCATGGTGGGGGCCCCAGAACTCAGGCTGGGAATCCCAGGGGCTACTCCAGCTTTCATGTCACCAGAGCAGTGACATTCGGGCCCTCGGGGGCAGACTGTGCCTGTGGCTTCTCAGTGGGGTGCCTTAGGGTCCCCTCAGCAGATGGATCCCATCTCCTGGTCTGGTTAGCATAAGATAAACAGGGATAGTAGCAGCAGTTGTCACTCTGAGGGAGGGAAGGGGAAGGGAGGGCTCAGGTGAAAAGCAGAAGGGAACTCTATGGCTGTCTTTCTTCTCCCTGTTTACCTGTCCACCCATCTGAGAGATAAAAGAAGAGCAGAGGAGGGTGAGTGAGGAAAAAGCAGGAGGGTATTGGGTGTGGGGCCGATGGTTTTCACTCAATCCGCCGGGAGATCTGAATATCAACTCTCTATGGAAGAACAAGAACCGAGGTGTCTCTTCTGCCCCATTTCTAGCCCAGGGTGACCCCAGGAGCTCTGCAGTGTGCCGCATGGAATCGCCTAAGATGGGACTGCCTTGGAACAAACAGTTTCAATGTCTATTTCACATGTGCGCTCTAGCTCAGAATTTTAATAAGCAAATATACATGGTACCTTGCCGTAGGGGGGCTTTATGTTTCTAAATCTATGAATTAATAAACAGGATGAGCCTTTTTAAAAAAGGGAGCTTGGGGCAGAATGAACCACTAAAAAGTTATTGGCTCTTAACTCCTGCTTTTTGTAGAAGCTTGACAGGCAGCTGACTCAGCCAGACCTGAAACCCTTTCCCCGGTTCTTGTTGGCATTTCTGACTTTGCCATTTCAGTTGGCACTGACCCTTCCAAGACTGTGTATGCCAGGAGGGAGCATCTGCCCCCATCTACTCTCTGGGAAGATGTCCTCTCCCAAGAGTCAAGAGTGTCTTGTTCTGACCGTGGGTTACTTCTCTGTGTCTGTCTGAGAGGGGAAAGCATTGTCATCACACAGGAGGTAGCAAATACCTACCTCTTTTTTTTTTTTTTTTTTTTTTTTTTTTTGAGACGGAGTCTTGCTCTGTTGCCCAGGCTGGAGTGCAGTGATGCGATCTCAGCTCACTGCAAGCTTTGCCTCCCGGGTTCACACCATTCTCTCGCCTCAGCCTCCCGAGTAGCTGGGACTACAGGTGCCCGCCACCACGCGCAGCTAATTTTTTAGTTTCACCGTGTTAGCCAGGATGGTCTCCATCTTCTGACCTTGTGATCTGCCTGCCCCGGCCTCCCAAAGTGCTGGGATTATAGGCGCGAGCCACTGCGCCTAGTCTGCTCTGGTTTCTAATAGAAGTAGGTATTTGCAGCTAGGCGCGGTAGCTCATGCCTGTAATCCCAGCACTTTGAGAGGCTGAGGCAGGCAGATCGCTTGAGCCCAGGGGTTTCAGACTAGCCTGGGCAACATGGAGAAACTCCATCTCTACAAAAAATACAAAAAATTAGCCAGGTGTGGTGGCACATGCATGTAGTTCCAGCTACTCAGGAGGCTGAGGCGGGAGGATCACCTGAGCCTAGGAGGTCAAGGCTGCTGTGAGCTGTGATTGCACCGCTGCACTCTAGCCTGCGCAACAGAGTGAGATCCTGTCCCCTCCACCCCAAAAAAAAGAAAACAAAGAAAGAAACCAGAACACCAGGTGTGTCTTCCTGAGTTTTCACCCTGATCACTGCCTCTCCTGCCAGCTCCCTGCTTTCCAGGGAAGAGTTGGCTGCGCCAGGGGACAGAGCACTGACTCCCACCCAGGCCACTGGGACAGCCATATCTAGGCCTCAAAAGACTATGGGGGTTCCTAGCAAATTCCACCTTATTTGACTTCTCCGAACAGCCCAAACTCTGCTGGGCTTCTTCCCTTGCCTTCATAGGAGACTTGATGCAGGGGGCAGAGGTGAGAGCCCAGGGGGACAGCTGGCCTTCAGGAGGGGTCCTTGCTGGGTGTTTCCAGGAGAGCTTCGGCCTCTCTCTCCGCACCATGTTCCAGGTGGCGTTGAAGACCAGTGGGTAATTTGGGGGGTGTGGGAACAGAAAATCAGAGGAACAGCTAGTGTTTTCTTCCTTGAGACTTGTTTCCCCTTTGACAGTTTAGATGGATAGTAACAATAATCACCGATAGGAAAGTCATCCTGACTGGGGTCTGAAGCCTTCCGTGGATGTTCCCGTCTAATTCTCACAGTAACCCTGTGGGCTTTTAAGGTAAGAATGATCACTGACTCCACTTTTCACCAGTGTCGGAACTGAGACTTGGAGAGGTTCAGTGACCAGACGATGGAGTCCAGGGTCCAGGGTCCAGGGTCCAGGGTCCGGGGTCCAGGGTCTTCACAGCCTGTGCTCCCTCCCCTTCCGTTTCTCCTCTTGCTTTGGGTTTGGGAAGCCTCCGCGGGGTGAGGTGGAGAGTGCGCCTCACTAGTCAGGCACCCCGAAGGAGTAAGGCATGTGACTGTACAATATCCCAATAAAGCGTGTGGGTGGTGGGGATGGGTGGGCGAGGTTGAGATCCATTCTTTAAGGCATTAAATACTGTCTCTTTCAAAAGGAGGTTGTGCTGTTTTGCAGCTGGTTTTCTTTAACTACCAGAAACACCAGCATTGTTTCAGAAAGCCACAGAATTTCCAAACACAATGAGAATTCCAAGAGGATGGGGTGTGGGTTTTGGGGGCTGGGGTGGGTATGGACAGGCTTTTGGGGAGGGAAGACCACAGCCTGAGTGGTTTTGTCCCCCACGGGTAATGAATTTCACACGGCTCCACTGTCCTCAGTTTTATCTGCAGGATGCTCAAGTTGAAGCCTGGGAAAGAAGGGGATCGGGAAGGAGCAGGCCCCAGGGATTACAGTGGCCATAAAAACCAAACAGTGACCCAGGACAGCCCCATTTGGTGTGACCTCTAATGACTGCCTTCCCTCAGCTGGTGTCAGAGGAGGCACATGGTGTCAGTTAAGTTCCAAAGTGACATTTGTATAAATAAGTTTGTTAATGGGAAATGAGTTTTTTTTTCTCCCTCTCCAATCTTAAGAAAGTGTGTAGCCTATATCCAAATATTTCTGAAAGAGCATCAACAGTAACGGCAAACAGGGGAGCTAATGTCACCAACAAAACTTGTGAGGTCAACCCAAAGAAAGAAGGGAATAAATGAGCAAAACTTTGGAAAGAGTTTCTCACATGCTGAAAACACTCAGCAATATTTCTAACAAGCGTGGTGGCCCTTCAGTCAGAAGTGGCCTTTCTCTGAAGTTTGAAGTAAAAAAAAAAAAAAAAAAAAAATTCTGTTCTTCCTGCTTTTTTTTTTGAGATGGAGTTTCACTGTTCTCACCCAGGCTGGAGTGCAATGGCATGATCTCAGCTCACTGTAACCTTCGCTTCCCCTGTTCAAACCATCTCCTGCCTCAGCCACCCAAATAGCTGGAATTACAGGCCCCTACCACCACGTCCGGCTAATTTTTGTATTTTTAGTGGAAATGGTGTTTCACCATGTTGGCCAGGCTGGTCTTGAACTCCTGACATCAGGTGGTCAGCTTGCCTCGGCCTCCCAAAGTGCTGGGATTACAGGTGTGGGCACACCGTGCCTGGCCTATTCTTCCTACTTTTTATACTTTGTGTTTGCATTCAACTTGACAAACTCAGGCAGCCTTACCAGATAGCTTGGTATTTGTGAGATTCAGTTCTGAGTTTTGAAGTAAAATTTTAAATGTGATTGTTTTTATCCTTTAAAGTATAGAGAAGTCAATAGCCTTGGCTTCTAGGTCTGACTGACTGTTCTATGGATAATGGATATGGATAATGTGAATTGGAATTTATATCCGTGGAATCAAACATGTTCAACTGCATGACATGCATGACAGAAAGTGGCACTTGGCAGAGACAGAGAGGGAAACAGTCATTCTCCCGAGCTGTGAAGAGTGCAACTCTAGAGTACATTCTCAGTTCTTTTATCTGTGGAGGAAAAGGCACGTTGTCATGGTTAAGAAATATCACATGCCAACTTAGTGACGGGGGAAAGACCCTCTTAACAAATGGTCTGGGCCGGGCCTGGTGGCTCACGCCTGTAATCCAGCACTTTGGGGGCTGAGGCAGGCGGATCACCTGAGGTCAGGAGTTCGAGACCAGCCTGGCCAACATGGTAAAACCCCGTCTCTACTAAAAATACAAAAATTAGCCAGGTGTGGTGGTGGGTGTCTGTAATCTCAGCTACTTGGGAGGCTGAGGCAGGAGAATCGCTTAAACCCGGGAGGCGGAGGTTGCAGTGTGTCGAGATCGTACCATTGCCCTCCAGCCTGGGTGACTAGAGTGAGACTCCATCTCAAAAACAAACAAACAAACAAAAACACTAACGTATACTCTAGAGGCTTACACAATTAATTGTAGAAAATGAAACTCTGAAAGAACTAGAAGAAAATATAGGTGAATTTTTATCTAATCTCAAAATAGAGCAGCCTTATTAAAATACGACAGAAGGGAAGCAAAATCAATAAATGAGCCTGAGGTTGAATTACAGATTACTTGTACAAGAATATTCATAGCAGCACCACAGCAAAACCTTGAAACAACCCAAATGTTGCATATTGAGAGTGGATAAACAATAGAGTTTTTCACACAAAATTTTCAAAAATTTTAAAAACAATACCCCCAAATCGACAAATTGTAATGACATATAATCCTATGGCTAAACTTTACAATATAATATTAAGTGCAAAAAACGTTACTTAATACACAATAGCCTTTCTTAACCCAATGTTTTAATATGAAAAATTTCAAACATTCAGTAAAACTGAAAGAATTTTCTCGTGAGTACCTGTATGCCCATCATCTTGTTTATCCCTTTCACACTTTGTTATGTTTGCTTTCTCACATACTCATTCATTATTCCCTCTAATTCAGCAGTCCTCAGCTTGGGGTGATTTTGCCCCCCAGGAATATCTGACAGTGTTTGGAGACAGTTTTAGTTGTTACAGCTGGGATAGGGTACTACTGACATCTGGTGTGGGTAGAGGCCAGGGACGCTGGTCACAGCCTGCATTCCACATGGCAAGCCCCCACCACAGAGAATCAGCTAGCCCCAGATTGCAGCAGTGCTGAAGCTGAGAACCCCTGCTGGAATCCATCTTATTTTCTGATACATTTCAGAGAAACCTGGATTCACTGGTATACTTCCTCCTACATATTTAAGTATGTATATCATTAACTAGATTTCCATATTTATTTACAGTGTTTTTCTTTTGATGTGAAATGTACATGCAATGAAATGCAGAAGTCTTAAGGGTACATTCACTGAGCTTTGGTCAGGGCATGCACCTGTGTAACCCAGACTCCTGTCAGGACAGAGGACCTTACCATTGGCTTAGAAAATCCCCCTTAACTCGTCTCCAGTCAAGCCTTTCAGCCTCCTTTCCCCAGGAGGCAACAATTATTCTATTTTTTTTCCACCATAGAAAAAAGTTAGAACAGTGGTTCTCATAGTTTTGTGTGTTTTAGAATTGCATATAAATGGAATAACAACAGATGCACGCTTTGTCTGAGACTTCTTTCACTCCATAGCACAGCAGTTCTGCAAGTGTGTTCTGCAGACCTCTTAGGTTCTCCAACACTCCTTCAGGGGGTCCCATATGTCACAGCTATTTTCATTATAATTCTGAGACATTTTTCTCCTCTACACTGTGCTGACATGTACGTAGATGGTGCAAAGGTAACGGTGGGTAAATTGAGGCAGTAGCACCAAACTGTACCTTTGTCAGTGTGTTCTTCATCACCACCAACTTACAGAAAAAGGAGTCAGCATCACTTAAAAATGCCCTGGGTGAAGCAGAACAGATGTGCATCTTTTTAAATCTCAGCCCCTGAATACATGTTCTTTTAATATTCTGTATGATGGCCGGGTGCAGTGGCTCACGTCTGTAATCCCAGCACTTTGGGAGGCTGAGGCGGGTGGATCACCTGAGGTCGGGAGTTCGAGACCAGCCTGACCAATAGGGACAAACCCTGTCTCTACTAAAAATACAAAAATTAGCCGGGTGTGGTGGCGCGTGCCTGTAATCCCAGCTACTGGGGAGGCTGAGGCAGGAGAATCGCTTGAACCTGGGAGGCGGAGGTTGCGGTGAGCCAAGATTGCGCCACTGCACTCCAGCCTGGGCAACAAGAGCAAAACTCCGTCTCAAAGAAAAAAAAAAAAAATTCTGTATGATGTAATGGAAGGTCCTCATAAAGCACTTCCACTCCACCGTAGTAGCACGATTGTCTTCAGGAAGGGCGTATACGCAGTTGTTTGAGTTGCCAGCCAAGCTAGCTGCTTTTCTCATGGAACACCATTTTTACCTGGAAGAGCAACTGACCAACTACAGTTATTCAGGTTTGCGTATGTGGCAGTGAAGCTGTCACTTCAAGGGAAACAGCTGACAGCATTTGTTGCTATTGATACAACTTGAACTTGCAAGGAAGAATTAGAATTTTTGAAAACTTGTATTTGTCACCATGAACTTGAGAGCTTCCCAATAACTAACAATTTTTCTGACAAGATTGGTGGTGATATTGACATATGATTTAAAAACATAATGACATGCATCAACATTTGCAAGATATGTATAACTCACTGAATAATTATTTTCTAAATGACCTGTGTAGGATATTATACAGTTATACACAGGTAAAAGTTCCATTCCAACTGTGGCGTAGACCAATGGATTTCCATGTAGTGGAGTAGAAAAAGTTTACTGATAACGGTTTCAGGGCCCATATTGCAACTAACCTTTAAGAAACTACCACTTTTAAAGTTTTGGTTTGTATCAAAGATGAATAGCCATAATTATCTGAAAAGGCTATTAAAATAGTTCTTCATATTCCTACTTCATATCTGTGTGAGGCTGAGTTTTCTCTATATTCTCCAACCACAAAAACTTCCAGATGAGTTTCCAAGGTAGTTTACACCATTTTACACTTCTACCACAATGTCTGAGACTATAATAGCCTTTTTACAAATTTACAACAGCAAAACACACAATTTCAGAATTCATAGAGATGAGATACTACTGTGTAAAAAGCAAAGCTGGGGACTGATACCCACAGGACTTGAGGTGGCAGTAACCTTGGGTGGGAGAGTCCTGCATAGCCAGATGTGTACCTGGTGAAGGGCCAGTTAAAGCGCTGTTGTTTAAACCAAGGAGAAGGGTCCTGGGGGTGCCCTTTGCCATAGGAAACTATTTCCCATAGTATTAGTATCTGTGGCTAACAACATGGCCACAGGCTGTACTTTCCTGTCCAATCTCTGTGTATCTAAGTCTGCTGAGGCTGCAGATTCCTGCAAAGAGCAGTCGATGGCCCTCTGCAGGAGGGCTGATGGAGAAAACATGCGTCGGATGCTTACACCGGCCGTGTCAGAGAAGAGGAATGAGCCTATTGCTCCTGCCATGTAATGATTCCTGTTGGGAGTCAGTGACTCCTTTTCTGTGGGGCTACCCTCACCCATCCACATTTCTGGCTTTCCTTGCTAGGGGTTCTTCCCTCGTCTTCCAAGTCCTGTGCAGGTGGCTGGAGGCCAGAGAGGACTCATTTGGCTATAATCAGAGGCATTCCCCTTTCCTCGGTCCGTAGGGATGGAAGGGTTTGAGCCCGAGTTTATTTACCCTTAGCAAAACACAACTAGGTTTTATTATTATTATTATTTTAGTGCTTGGGATAAAAAGGCCCATAAAAACAATAGCATAAAACAGCTTTTACTGATCAAACGTCATGCTGATTTATTTGTGAGTGAAATCTGAACCATATGGTCTGGCTTCCCTTAAAATGCACAGGGGGTTCAGGATTAAGGGAACAAACTCTTGGCAAATTTGTTTTGCGTTTCACTGAGCACATCATGTTAGAAACAAAATAGAGCAATTGTTGAGTGCTTACTGTGTGCAGGAAATTGTGCTTAGTGATTGATGTCCATGATCTCGCTTCATC
Source organism: Homo sapiens (assembly GCF_000001405.40). NCBI lineage: Eukaryota > Metazoa > Chordata > Mammalia > Primates > Hominidae > Homo > Homo sapiens. The sequence goes on from NC_000001.11 coordinate 245,226,068, forward strand.
TTCACAACGATCCATGCAGTCAGCAGCGTTCCCCACGAGGGGCAGCAGCAGTGCTGAGCTCAGGGCCCTCATGACCTGCAGGAAGGTGGGCAAAGTGGGGAAGATCTGGAATCCAGTGGGGAAGAGTCGTCCACCAGTGACAGCACTTCCACCTAAAGTCCCCTGATCGTGAAAGAGATGAAACTGCAAACGAGGACGTGAACTTGGGGCCTGTGGATCAGCTGGCCTTCTCAGGTTGCAGAGAGCCAGCTGTGCATTGTCTTATTCCCTTGTCCCAGCAGAGACTGAACGCTAAGTCTTTCCCACCATCAAGGCATGAGGTTTCTCTCTTTGCCGCATTTGTGTTGGGCATCTCAGCCCTCAGTCTGTATTCTTGTGGAGGGTGCACCTCTTTTTTTTTTTGTTTTTTTGTACACACAGTTTTGCTCTTAGTTGCCCAGGCTAGAGTGCAATGGCGCGATCTCGGCTCCCTGCAACCTCCTTTTCCCAGGTTCTAAGCGATTCTCCTGCCTCAGCCTCCTGAGTAGCTGGGATTACAGGCATGCACCACCACGCCCGGCTAATTTTGTATTTTTAGTAGAGATGGGGTTTCTCCATGTTGGTCAGGCTGGTCTCAAACTCCCGACCTCAGGTGATCCACCCGCCTCGGCCTCCCAAAGTGCTGGGATTATAGGCATAAGCCACCGCACCTGGCCAGATGCATCTCTTTGAGTTTGGGAACGAAAAGGGTATGATGGCAGAATCATGTGCTGCCAGTCATGATCACAGTGATGTTCATTCTGGTTCCTGGGCTTAAGCTTCTAATTTGCTGTAAGAAAGCTCAGTGGGCTTGCCCTTTGCCTAAGTGAAACCAGCTTATTTCCACTTTTCTTCAGGCACCCTCACGGACATCCAGTGCCACGGTCCTGCTTTGTCAGGCAGCATCTTTCAGATTCTTGAAAGACAGGCAGCTTGTTTCGAATGACCCACAGGGAATGGTGCACCATTCACTCAGTCCACCCCTAGCACGGGCCAGTCCTATGTCGTTTTTTGGCATTTTTGAGGAACAGCTCCCTTTTCAGTACCAGGTGACATTATTACCCAGATCCAGTTGCGGAGAGGCGTGTGTGTCTGTCTGGTTGAGCTGAAACGTGGGCAGATCAGAAAGGAAGGAAAACTGGATTAAGCCAGGATTTGCTTACCTGGAAGGTCCAGAAAGAAATTCCCCTTCCTTCCACAGCCAGAGGATTTCAAGTCTATAATGTTGCTAAAATTAGCAGTGTAACAAAACTTCCCATGTGATGTAGCACAGGTTGATGGGGTAAGCCAGTGTAACATGGAAACCCACTGGCACCTCTGCATCTGGGCCTAAGGCTGCGGCCTCCGTCCTCTTCGCCATCATTGGCCTCTCTTGTTTCTTCCCACCCCTGTCACACCGCCCTTGACCATGGTTGTCTGTCATGTGGATTCCTCACGGGCAGAGATACTACCCTCTGAGCTTGCTCCCTGCTTTGCTCTGGAGTGTGGAATTTAAAACTTGTAATGATAGGAGAAGGGAAGAACACAGTTACAGTATTAGACTCACTGTTTCCTGAGCCACTAAATGTATCAGACTGTTATATTTGGGTTATTTTCCAAAAACCTTTTGGTAGTCATTAAAAAAACACTCTGAGGCTGGGTGTGGTGGCTCACGCCTGTGATTCCAGCACTTTAGGAGGCTGAGGTGGGTGGATTACCTGAGGTCAGGAGTTTGAGACCAGCCTGGCCAACATGGTGGAACCCCATCTCTACTAAAAATACAAAAAATTAGCCGGGCATGGTGGCGGGCACCTGTAATCCCAGCTACTTAGGAGGCTGAGGCAGGAGAATCGCTTGAACCCGGGAGGCGGAGGTTGCAGTGAGCTCAGGTTGCGCCTCTGCACTCCAGCCTGGGCAACAAGAGCGAAACTCTGTCTCAAAACAAAACAAACACACTGTGGCTATATTTATTCATGGAAACAATGATATAACATTCTTAGACTTGCCTTCAAAGGCCACCTGTATTAATAGGGTCCCACGCATGCCACTTATAACATGGATTCTGTAGCACATTGGGACATCGGAAGCCTTCTCCATTCACTCTCCCTTGCTCTCCCTATTGTTCCAGCACCTCCTGAGGGGGCCCTCTTTCAGGAGCTTTGATCATTCCCTGCACTTGTACATTTCCATAACTAGCACCACCTTTGTATCTAGATGTTTGCATGCAAGGGGCATCTCCAGGTATCTTCCCATGTATCCTTAGTTGCCCAGGCGGGCGGATCACCTGAGGTCGGGAGTTCGAGACCAGCCTGACCAACATGGGGAAATCCCACCTCTACTAAAAATACAAAGTTAGCTGGGCCTGGAGGCGCATGCCTGTAATCCCAGCTACTTGGGAGGCTGAGGCAGGAGAATTGCTTGAAACTGGGAGGTGGAGGTTGCAGTGAGCCGAGATTGCACCACCACACTCCACCCTGGGCAACAAGAGCAAAAACTCCATCTCAAAAAAAAAAAAACAAAAGGCAGTTTCCGCAGTTGTAAGTAGGACTAGAGGAAAGAGTGATGATAATATTGATAACAATAAAATACAATTATTGAGTGCTTACTGTATATAGGAGATACACTTAGTAATTTACATGTATTATCTCACTTAATCTTCGCAGTAATCTGAGGAGATAATGTTACCCTCATTTTGCAGCTGAAATGTAGCAGGTTGCTTCACCCCTGGAGGCTGCACGCCTAGTAGTGATGGAGCAGAGGCAGGAGCCTAGCGTCACCTGACTCCAGAGTTCATTCTCCAATCACCGCATGATACTGACTCCTAATCGTAGCCTGATGGCTTTAACAAGAGAAAATAAGGTTACCTTCCAGCTAGAGGGATTTATTATTATTATTATTATTGTATTTCTTTATTTATTTTGAGACAGGGTCTCGTTCTGTTGCCCAGGCTGGAGTGCAATGATGCAATCTTGGCTCACTGCAGCCTCCGCCTCCCAGGTTCAAGCGATTCACATGTCTCAGCCTCCCTAGTAGGTCAGACTACAGGCACGTGCCACGATATCTGGCTAATTTTTAAAAATTTTTTTTAGTAGAGACTGGGTTTTACCATGTTGGCCAGGCTGGTCTTGAACTCCTGACCTCATGTGATCCACCCACTTCGGTCTCCCAAAGTGCTGGGATTACAAGCGTGAGCCACCGCCCCCTGCCGGATTTATCTTACCCATGTGTCTCTGACAGGATATATTGTCAAATTCCCAAACTGTATTTTTAGGGGGGTTGCAAATTTTGCTTCCAAATGATCTTCTAAGAGCAGGATATTCTCTGCCTGGAGTGATGAGGGTACCATTTCTAAAAGAGGTACATTGTAGTTCAAACTCCTGCAGGTAAGGAGCCGTGACTTACTAACTTTCAACTTTGACACATTCGCAGGTAAGAGCAGAGCTACGCACTACAGCAAAATCCAGGCTGTCCGTCAGCAGCTGATGTGCCCGGTACCTTTTGTCTTGGCCATCCTGTTGTTCATTAATCTGATGTATACTCACTGTGTTTGCGTTTATTTTCCTAACATTTTTAGCCTCATCCTATTCCTATAAGTGACAGGCACTGTAACTATTGAAAGTACTGATTAAAAGTAGTGTTTGATTATTCTGTAAGCAAAGTAATACTTTGGATTAAAACAAAGTGACTGTCATCTGAATCTTAATTTCTGTTATTTTCCAAATTTCTTTATTCATTCTCCTGTTGATGTATATGAAGATGAACAAAGAGAGCAAATAAAACCACTCAGAGGCCGGGTTCGGTGGCTCACGCCTGTAATCCCCGCACTTTGGGAGGCCGAGGTGGGCGGATCACAAAGTCAGGAGTTCGAGACCAGCCTGGCCAACATGGTAAAACCCCATCTCTACAAAAAATAGAAAAATTAGCTGGGCGTGGCGGCACATGCCTGTAATCCCAGCTACTCTGGAGGCTGAGGCAGGAGAATCGCTTGAACCCGGGTGGCGGAGGTTGCAGTGAGCCGAGATCGCGTTATTGCACTCCAGCCTGGGCGATAGAGCGAGACTCCATCTAAAAACAAAACAAAACAAAAAGCAAAAAAAAAAAAACAACAACACTCAGAACCCACACCTACAGTGTAACTAGAGACGAGGTGTACCGCAGACTTGGGGAAATAAATGTCCCGAAGCAGCAGAGCTAACTCCCAGCTCCCACCAAAAACGATGTTACTTCCAAAGATACTGCACTTGAACAACTGAAGAGAGTGCTCTTGAAATAAGAAACTTAGAGGCACCCAAGGGATTTCAGACCTATTTTTGCTGGTCTAAGAAAATCCAATTGATGTAAGAATGACCAGAAAATGGCAGCAAACATCCATAAAAATTTGCTATAAAAAGAAAACTGCCGGGCGTGGTGGCTCACGCCTGTAATCCCAGCACTTTGGGAGGCCGAGGCGGGTGGATCACCTGAGGTCGGGAGTTCAAGACTATCCTGACCAACATGGAGAAACCCCATCTCTACTAAAAATACAAAAATCAGCCGGGCATGGTGGCGTGTGCCTGTAATCCCAGCTACTCGGGAGGATGAGGCAGGAGAATCGCTTGAACCCGGGAGGCAGAGGTTGTGGTGAGCCAAGATTGCGCCATTGCACTCCAGCCTGGGCAACAAGAGCGAAACTTCATGTAAAAAAAAAAAAGAAAAGAAAGAAAGGAAAAAGAAAACGAAGGAAGGAAATACTCCCTGAAAACAACCATGAAGAAAATGAAAATTGTTAACACCACCTCCAACATGAACTAAATATAATTGCACAAGCATTTAAAGAAATGAAAGAAAACCTAATACCAGAAATTTGAAAAATCTCAAACAAAATGCTGGAAAATGTAAAATTAAAGATTATGACATGCCAGAAAGAAATGGAGGAAAAAGACAAAAAAAAATCATCTCAGGCATGAAGACGAGATTACAAGATGTCCATTCAGATTCTACTGAAAAAAATTATAAGGGATATTGAGAAGAGGAACGAAACCATTCAAGACAACAAAAATGAGATAAAGAGAGGTGAAAAGAATCAGAGAAAAAGTGATATATAAGCTAGGCAAAGAAAGTCCAACACACAAAATTGAAGTTGAAGAACAAGCAGATGGAATAAAACTAATATTTAAAACTACAATCTAGGCTGGGCGCAGTGGCTCACATCCATAATCCCAGCACTTTGGGAGGCTGAGGTGGGCAGATCACCTGAGGTCAGGAGTCTGAGACCAGCCTGGCCAACATGGTGAAACCCCGTCTGTACTAAAAATACAAAAAATTAGCCGGGCGTGGTGGCAGGCACGTGTAATCCCAGCTACTTGGGAGGCTGAGGCAGGAGAATCGCTTGATCCCGGGAGGTGGAGGTTGCAGTGAGCCAAGTTCGTGCCACTGCGCTCTAGCCTGGGTGACAGAGCAAGACTTCGTCTAAAAGAAAAATAAATAAAACTAGAATCCAAGAATTCTTTATGGAAAAAAGAAGATGTGACTCTACATACTGAAAGTTTCTACATGCATCTGGGAAAATTGACCCAGCGTGATTAAATTCTAGATGTATCCTCATAAACTTTGTGGTTAAAGATGAGGGAGAAGGAGGAGGAGGAGGATAAGGAGGAAGAGGAGGAAGAAAACAAACCTCTGGGCCTCCAGTCAAAAATACCAAGTCACTTAAAAAGAAAAAAAAATTAGATTGGCATCAGCCTTATCAACAGCTACGTGCAAAGCAAGACAAGGATGGAACAATGTTTTCAAGAAAGGTAAGGACCATCTGAATCAAGAATTTTAAATCCAGCCCATCTGTCTTTCAAGTATCAAAGTTATCGAAAAAAAAGTTTTAATCCTACGAGAACTCAGGGACTACTGTCCTAACAACTCCTTCCTAAAGAATATGCCAGAGGGTTGTTACCATCAAACAGAGAGAAGACTAAGGAAATTTGTCAAAATAACTGGTGGTTTGAACAAAAGATGCAAAACTACTTTGAAAGAGGGCTTCATGTTTCAGAGATTAATCGGACGTATCCATCCATAAGATCCTTGCCAAGAAAGTTTGAATAATAAAACAATGGAGCTAGATTGCAATGTTTTCACCAAATCCAGAATCTCTGAAGAAATTAGGATATGGCTTTGGCAGCTCTAGACGCCAAATTTGTAAAGCAAGAGAAGGGAAAAAGTGCAAGTAATTAATGGAGCTTGGAAAAGACCTGAAGCAGGACAGTCAGGAGTAGATGAAAGGGTTTTCTAAGAAAAGAAGTAGAAATGTGGAATTTGGTAAATTTTATTGAGAAGGCACCCGAGTAGATTTAGGCTTGTAGTTCTTACAAACATTAAAAATGTTTTATTGTATTAAAGAGCTAATACTCCTTAATTATGACTTCATTATTTATGTTACAGAGAAGATCTAGATGCACTATTTACCTCCTTTTGTTCCTAACCTAGAAATGGTAGCAAATACATGTGGTTTCATTTGTTTTTTTTTTTTTTTTGAGATGGAGTTTTGCTCTTGTTGCGCAGGCAGGAGTACAGTGGTGCGATCTCAGCTCACCGCAACCTCTGCCTCCCAGGTTCAAGCGATTCTCCTGTCTTAGCCTCCCGAGTAGCTGGGATCACAGGCATGAGCCACCACTCCCGGCTAATTTTGTATTTTTAGTAGAGACGGGGTTTCTCCATGTTGGTCAGGCTGGTCTCGAACTCCCGACCTCAGGTGATCCACCCGCCTTGGCGTCCCAAACTGCTGGGATTAGAGGCATGAGCCATCGCACCCGGCGGTTTCCTTCCTTTCCTCCAAAGTCACGTTGCACATCAATATGTGATTTGGCAATGGTTCTCTTTTTCACTGAGCCCCAGTGAAGCCTCAGAATTCTACTCAACGTAGCACACGAGGCAGCCATTACTACTCTATCTGCATTTGTTGGAAGTTGAAATATATTTGCTATCCCTGCCCTAATTGTAGGGTCTGTAGCCTGATTACTTGGCATCTTCATCTCACTTGTGGAAACTAACGGGATTACAGACGCACTTTCTCAGCAAGCGTTCATTAGTCACTGAGTAAATGACAAACAATGTATGAGGCTCTGGGCATAATGAAATGATTAGGACACATTTCCATCCTCCAAGAGGCTCACAGGGCCCAGAAGGAAGTGAATGATTCTGTAGAATTTGCCTTGTGAATGTGTTACTCCTTAAGTTATATCGAACATTGCAGTGATCAAGAAATATTCTACTTTGTAGAAAGATCCTGGAATCACATAGACCCCAAGTTTTAGGCATGGCAAAACTTTATGCACAATTTCATATGTAAAGTGATTTTCTCTGTCCTCATCCTTAGTACCTTGCTACTCAAAGCGTGACCTGAGGACCAGTGGAAAGATATTACCTGGGTACTTGTTAGAAAATGCAGAATTCCAGTCCCATACCAGATCTCTTGAAACAGAATTCTCATTGTATGAAGATACCCAGGTGACTTGTATGTACATAAAGTGTGAGAAACACTGCAGACTCTTAGTGTCCAGCTAGAACAAGATTGATTTGCCACCTGCCACTTTTCTTTCTCCCTACACACACTTAAAAAAAAATCTCTTAACTAACCACAGACACATATTCCAAATCTCATGTTCTCTCTGTCATAATTTTCTTATTTGTAAACTTAACATGGGAACACTATTAGTACCTGTCCTGTCTGATGAGAGTGAGCATTTGCTGAGATCATGCATCTGTGGTGTTCAGTAGAGTGCCCAGCTTCATAAATACATGTTATTTGTGAATGATATACATGATACTAGTTTAATGGAAAATTGGGACTTAGAAATAATGTTTCGGGCTGGGCGCGGTGGCTCACACCTGTAATCCCAGCAATTTGGGAGGCTGAGGCGGGCAGATCACCTGAGGTCAGGAGTTTGAGACTCCAGCCTGGCCAACGTGGTAAAACCCTGTCTCTACTAAAAATACAAAAATTAGCTGGGCATGGTGGCGGGCACCTGTAATCCCAGCTGCTCAGGGGGCTGAGGCAGGAGAATTGCTTGAACCTAGGAGGTGGAGGTTGCAGTGAGCCAAGATCGCGCCACTGCACTTCAGCCTGGCCTTTAGAACGAGACTCCCTCTTAAAAAAAAAAAGAAAGAAAAGAAAAAAGAAATTTCAACACCGTAGCCTGTTCCCAGTGGAGGAAATTCTGAACTTTCTCGTTGTTGGAACTTTGTTTGATACCTCTAAGTAAATACCCAATAAAATGGTATCTAACGCCCCCCTGCCGGGCTGGGTGGTACCCACACTTGTACCTCGCACTCACACTCACACACGTCACACACCTGTCAGGGGGCACAGCCCCAGGTGAGCCTGAGTGCTGTGCTTGCCTCGTGGGGTGCTCCATGGAGATGGGTCTCCCAGGCCTCAGGGCTTCCTGGGTGCACCTCCCGTTTCTGCGTGCAGGGAGGGATGGCTACAGGACTGGGCGGGAGAACTTTCCCAGTGTGGTGAGGCGTGCTGGTGAGACAGCAGTGTTTCCTGGGTTACATGTGGGCAGGACTGGGTTGGAGATGGGCCCGCAATTTGGCCTCCTGACTTGGGGTGCTCCAGTCTGCAGGTGGAAGTTCTTCCCGGCGGCTTGCAAAGAAGAAAAGCGAGGAGAAGGGCACTGATTTATTCAGCAGGGCATTTCCTTGGTTTGGCTGAAAGCTTTTGACTTGCGTGAGCTCAGCAGGGGAGCGCCGTTTCCAGGCCTCGCAACACCGGCCTGCTATTAAGTGTTTCTAAGAGAATAAAAGCCTGTTGTGTTAAAAGGACTTGCCCTCCGCCAGCAGCAGTGGGCCCATTAGCCAATCCGTTGGACACCCGGTGGCACACAGGCTGGCTCTGCAGGAGGTCCTCCTGGCCTCCTGCCCCTGTGTCTTTCAGAAGGCAGAGTCCGTGGGAGAGATCTGCTTCCCCATCCTCCTGCCTGGTGGAGCTGAGAGTGTCAACTGACACTGTCCCTTCGGCCTCCTCCTCTGTCCCTACTGCGCTGGGTTGAGTTGCCTGTGGAGGGGCTCCGCTTCCCTTCCTTTGTGGAGCTGATGTGTTCAGGAAAATATTCGAATATGTTAGATTTGTATAAACTAGGTCATTACTCTCTTGCTTTAAGGTTATACTTCAAAGGCCATAGTTAATTAAAGGTAGGTGTCCTTTGTCATTCAAAGTGAACATTTGTGTCAGTTCAATAATATTTGCTTTTAAATTTCCGTTAAGACATACGGGTTGGGTGTGGTGGCTCATGCTTGTAATTCCAGTGCTTTGAGAGGCTGAGGCAGGAGGATGGCTCGAGGCCAGGAGTTCCAGACCAGTCTCGGCAACATAGCAAGATCCTTTCCTTAAAAAAAAAAAGAAAAATTAGCCAGGCATGGTGGCATTCACCTTTAATTCTAGCTACTCAGGAGGCAGAGGTGGGGGGATCGCTTGAGCCTAAGAGTTTGAGGTTGCAATGAGCTATGATCACGCCACTGCACTCGAGCTTGGGTGACAGAGACTCTGGAAACAAAGAAAAGAAAAGAAAGGGAGAGACGGAGGGAGAGAGGCAGGGAGGAAGGAAGGGTTCAGAATATAGAAAGAGGGAAGGAAAGGAGGGAGGGAGGAAGGGAATAAGGGTTCAGAATATAGATAGAAAGGAAAAGTCCACAGAAAACTGGAGTAAAGTCTGAAGCTCCTGAAATAATAGTCAGTGTGCTAAGCAGGAACAGTGTGTACAATTTTAAGACATGAGAGTGAAATACCGGGTTTGTCATTTGCATAAGTTTTTGAGTAGTTAGAATAAACAGTGCTTATCGCCTTCCCAAAACACCCCACCACTATAAGCTGCTTGTACACACTGCATCACTTATTTTTTTTTTTTTTTTTGAGACAGAGTCTCGCTCTGTCACCCAGGCTGGAGGGCAGTGGCACCATCTTGGCTCACTGCAACCTCCACCTCCTGGGGTCAAGTGATTCTCCTGCCCCAGCTTCCCGAGTAGCTGGGACTACAGGTGTGCGCCACCATGCCTGGCTAATTTTTCTATTTTTAGTCGAGACGGGGTTTCACCATGCTGGTCAGGCTGGTCTCGAACTCCTGACCTTGTAGTCTGCCTGCTTCGGCCTCCCAAAATGTTGGGATTACAGGCGTGAGTGAGCCTCTGGCATCACTTATGTTTTAATGACCAAGGTGTATACAGGTAAGAAAGTTAAGCATGTAAGTGCCAAGTTCATGTCTTGGTTCTATCATTTACCAGCCATGGGCTTTGGGCAAGTTAGTTTTAACCTCATTCAGCCTCAACGTCTTCAACTCTAAAATGGGAATAAATGTTGCCTCCATCATAGATTTATTGTGAAAGTTAAAGGATATTGCGTATAAAATGGCTTAGCATAGTTCCTGGGACGTAATTGACAATCAATATTATAATTATTAATATGTGAACTATAGGATTTTTATTATTTAAAAGAACCTTTAAGTGAATTTCTTATAAACCTATAATGTTAGCAATGCTATGAATAAAATTTGTTTTATAAGGTTGAAGTTTGGTATGTTGTATTTTCTTGAAGCAAATTTTATAATGCATGCGACTTGATTTTTCCTTGTCCTTTCCTATTTTTGGTAAGAATGTCTAAACCTGAAAACAATGGAGTGTAGAAATAAAAATACATGATGCGGAATCTGAGAATGCCAATGCTAGGGGAAAGGAATACTGAGTGTGTGTGGCCGTGAGCCCCGTGGGGGCTGGGATTTGCTCGCTGCTGTATCCCCAGGGCAGAACACCATGGGTGGCATGCAGTAGGTGCCTAATCAGTGTGTGTTGCTTGAATAAATGAATGAGACCACATAGCCCAACACCTTCATTTTGTAGATGGAAACATAAGGCACAGAGAAGTAAAGTGACTTGTCTGAAATTACTTAAGGCCGATCTGGGACTGAGTCTCTGGTCCGTGTGATCACAAATGCTTCTAAGGCTCACAACGTAGCAGAATTTGTCTGCAATGAAGATCGTGGTGTCTTCAGCAGCACACTGGCTGGCTGGTTATCTCTCTTTCTTCCTCTGTCCTCTGCTCCCTCTTTCTACTTCTTCCCTTCTTTCTTCCTCCCATTCTTGCCCATTGCCCCTGGTGGCGTGTCCTTTGCTAAATGAGGGCTAGACAGATGTAACTTACAGCTCTGTCTCATACCACGCAACTCTAAAGTCCATCCTTAGACTACGACTTAGAGCAGATGTGAATGTTTAACCTCCCTTCTCTCTGGACATATGGCATCATCTTATTTCTCTGTTAGCTGGTCTGCCCTCCTGCCACCCATTTCAAGGCACTGTTGGCTCCTGGAAGCCATCTGGATGGAGTTTTTGTAACGGGAAAGTGCTCCTCCAGCACCCAGGAAGCCTTGGGTGGGTGATGGTCCCTGTGATCACCCAGCCGTGGTAAGGCCTGCTTCCCTTGCTTAGCAAAACCGTACCCTGGTGGATGGTGATGCTGCAGCCGGGGCCCAGGGGGTCTATGAGCATCATGGCAAAAAAGCCTTTATGGGAGCTCCCAGTTTACTACTTTCAGCCTTTCGGAAACACACACATTTCCTTCCATTCTTTACTGGCAACACTGTCTTTTGTACAGACTGTATTTGTTTGGATTAATACAGGGAGTCTGCAAATTTTTGTTCAAATAAGAATATTGTAGCTGGGTGCAGTGTTCCACACCTGTAATCCCAGCACTTTGGGAGGCCAAGGCGTGAAGGTTGCTTGAGCTCAGGAGTTCAGAGCCAGCCTGGGCAACATAGTGAGACCTCATCTCTGCTAAGTAAATAAGTAAAAATTAATCAGGCGTGGTGACATGTGCCTGTGGTCCCAGCTACTTGGGAGGCTGAGATGGGAGGATCACTTGAGCCCCGGAGGTCGAGGCTGTGGTGAGCCATGATTGCACTACTGCACTCCAACCTGGGCAACAGAGCAAGACCCTGTCTCAAAAAAAAAAAAAAAGTTGTTATTTGGCCAGGCATGCTGGCTCATGCCCGTAATCCCAGCACTTTGGGAGGCCAAGGCAGGCAGATCACCTGAGGTCAGGAGTTCAAGACCAGACTGACCAACATGGTGAGACCCCATCTCTACTAAAAAAAATACAAAAATTAGCTGGGCATGGTGGCAGGCACATGTAATCCCAACTACTCAGGAGGCTGAGGCACAAGAATCACTTGAACCCAAGAGGCAGAGGTTGCAGTGAGCCGAGATCGCACCACTGTGCTCCAGCCTGCGTGACAGAAACTTCATCTCATCTAAAAAAAAGAATATTGTCATTTGAGAATCACAAAACTCTGATCTTTTTAAACATAGGAGAGTGATATAGAGCAGTGCTTCTCAAACTGTATTTGATGAAGGACCAGTTTTCAAATTTTCCATATCGTGTTGCAGATCAACCTATCCATCAAAGACAATAAAAATGAATAGAAAAATGGAAAAAAATCCCAAACCCAAAAGACATTAAAAAGTCCTCAATTTTTTTTATTACTCAGAACAATTGGGCTGGGCATGGTGGCTCACACCTGTAATCCCAGCACTTTGGGAGGCAGAGACGGGTGGATCACTTGAGGTCAGGAGTTTGAGACCAGCCTGCCCAACATGGCAAAACCCCATCTCTACTAAAAATACAAAAATTTAGCTGGGTGTAGTGGCAGGCGCCTGTAATCTCAGCTACTCGGGAGGCTGAGGCAGGAGAATTGCTTGAACCTGGGAGGCGGAGGTTGCAGTGAGCTGAGTTGGTGCCACTGCACTCCAGCCTGGGTGACAAGAGCAAAACTGTCTCAAAAAACAAAACAAAACAAAAAAACCCCAATTGATCTAAAATTATACATATTGCTGCAAAAAATTCTAAATGCTTAGTCTCAATTTCTACACTTCCTTCTGGGTGTTGGTAGCAAACTCTCTGTAGACCCGACTTTGAGGAGCTCTTGATATGGAGACGTGGTTTCTTACGTCTAATTTCGTTTTCCACCATCTACTGCAAGAGTTGTATTTTCTGCCTCACGTCGCTGTCCTTCTCCCAGCCCATTCATTTTACTTCCCCTCTCAGAATGGCCTGTGTAGTGGGAGGCCCAGGACATTTAGTGGAAGATGGACATGGGCAGGAGTTAACGCGTCCTCCAGAGAATGCCTCCATGTTCTTCCGTCATCCGTGCAGATATCAGGCTGCAGTCCCGCAGAAAATGATGATGTTGCACAAGGCGAAGAAGCAGATATTGACATGAGGCCAATAAAACAGGTCATGAGCCAATAAAAATGACCATCTGATTCACTTTCCAGAAGAGCTACGTTTTAATGATTTACTAGAAAGCGAATTCTTTCTTTGCATCAATTTTTATCAAAAACTTAATGCCATTAATAGGTGAAGAACACATTTTTGATTCATTGACTAGGATTATGGTTAGTAAAATGATTTTCTTTTGTTTGGGTTTTCATTGTTGTTTTAGACAGAGTCTCTCTCTGTCGCCCAGGCTGGAGTGCAGTGGCGTGATCTCAGCTCACTGCAACCTCTGCCTCCTAGGTTCAAGCAATTCTTCTGCTTTGGCCTCCATAGTAGCTGGGATTACAGGTGCCCGCCACCACGCCTGGCTAATTTTTTGTATTTTTAGTAGAGACGGGTTTTCACTATGTTGGCCAGGCTGGTCTCAAACTCCTGACCTCAGGTGATCTGGCCTCCCAGAGTGCTGGGATTACAGGCATGAGCCATTGTGTCCTGACCAGTAAAATGATTTTCTGAATGTTTTAGTGTTTTTCCTTCCAAAAGTTGTCTTTCCTGACAGTGTATTTTTATTTTACTATATAAAGAGTCACTTTCCGGCCGGGTGTGGTCACTCACGCCTGTAATCCCAGCCCTTTGGGAGGCCGAGGCGGGCGGATCACTTGAGGTCAGGAGTTTGAGACCAGCCTGGGAAACATGGAGAAACTCTATTAAAAATACAAAGATTAGCCGAGTGTCATGGCGCACACCTGTAGTCCCAGTTACTCAGGAGGCTGAGGCATGAGAACTGCTTGAACCCGGGAGGCGGAGGTTGCAGTCAGCCGAGATCGTGCTTCCAGCCTGGGCAACAGAGTGAGACTCTGTCTCAAAAAAAAAGAGAGTCATTTCCCGTGAAAACCACGTGGTCTTTCTGCATCCCTAGGGGTTATTCTGGTGCCTAACGACTTCCTGAGTCCACTTTCGCCGCTTCCATGGCCACATTCGCTTTATTTTTCTCTTCTTAGGGGAGGGGAAGGCAGGGCATAGTTGCTGTAATTTGTAGAGTTGGGTTGATCAGTCGCACCTTAGTGTATATACCTCAGTGTGGAAATGTCTGAAAATTGTAACTTTGGGTTTGTAGAATTTGTTTTCCATTTCATAAGTCCTGGAATTTTAAAGTCCTGCATTTTCGGTTCGTTTAGAGGAAGCTGCATATACACATACATGTACAGACATACGAGTGTGTATAGAATGTGGAGAAATACCACTGCCCTCAGACTCTCGTGAGATTATATTTAATCTTTTTCCTTCTAGGGAAAATTTCAAAAAGGTAGGAGGGGGCTCGTGATATATTAACATTTTTACCAAAAGCTCTGTTAGGGCTGGAGGGGAGACAGCAGAGAAGAGCAACAAGGGAAGTTTTAGTGAGATATAGCCATATCAGAAAAGCAACAATACATTTAGGGAAGCTGGGAGAGGCAGGAGATGCCGCTGTGGGAGGGAGCTGGAAGGCTACAGGGACCTGCCAGAGGGAGGCTGGAGGCTGTGGGCCAGGTGGCTCAGGGAGGCTGGAGGAAGGTCAGAACCAGCCTGGCAGAGAGCCTGAAGTGACTTGGAGAATGAGGTGGAAAGAAACTTGCTTCCTCTGTGCCCTGAGCTCAAAGATAAAGGACTCTGGCCCGGCCCAAGGTCCCTGCCCCCAGAGTCCCCGCCCAGGGATCATGGATCTCCACCTTTTCCTACTCTTGGGTCTCACAGGGCCTGGGGATTGGGAAACAGAGTATTGCCAAGCCTTATTAAGCAGCTGTTTATTGGGTCAGAATACACCTGTCAGGAAAATCATCGGTAGTGAGCAGTTTCTTCCCGTTACCAGTAAATGTCGGAATTTCCTGAGTGCAGCTCTGAAGGATTTAGAGGTGTCATTCCCAGAGATTAGCAGGGACCTAATCTGTGAAGTGAAGGTGGAATGACCAGGATGGCCAGAGCCAGAGGAAGACCACGAAGCCAGAGGGTGCCCCGACAGAGGAAAAGCGGCCGGTGGGTTTTAGATCCTCATTTGGCCAGAGGGAGGCAGCTGGATCGGCTTCTCCAGAGCCTGCTGGCTGGAGGTTGGCTGTCCGTGGTGGTCTGGTTCTAAGTAGGAGAAGAGGTGGAACTTGGAGCTGGGCACCAGCTGGCACTGCTGTGTTCAGAGCATGGGAGGAAGCAGCAGCAGCAGAATCCCAGGACCCCCAAAGTGGGAGAAGGGCTCCCAGGTGCCTTACAGGTCACAGTCGAGGGCCTTCTTAAAAGCTGGCCCAAACCTGCCCTTTCCTTGCAGCCCAATGGCCTCAGGAGACAGTGACTCACGCTGTGTCCACCTGTGTCATCCTGTGGACAGCTGGAGGTCCACGGGAACAGCTGCTATGGCGGCGGACACAGCCCCGTCCAGGGCCCATGGCAGCCCCAGCTGGCTGCCCGCTCCCTCCTGTGGGCAGTGCTTCACAGCGGCAGCGGGAGCACTGGGTGCAGCCTCTGGAAGGTCTGGAAGGTGCTTGCTTTGGGGACTCGGCCCTGGTGGATCCCCTTAGCCTGTGGTATGAGCTCAGTCCCCATTTCTCAGGTGGCCTTCAAGGCTCATTCCTGACTCACCCAGCCTCATCTCCAGCCATTCGAGATGCAGGCGTTGTCATTCCTTGAAATTCTCACGCCTTCTAGATCCTCTGTGCTTTTCATCACACTATTTCCTCTGCCTGGAATGTCTGTCTTTGCCTGGGAAACAAAAGAGAAAAATGCCTGACTGTTAGATTTAAAATAGCATCTCAAAGCTCACGTTATTTTTAAATATTTCAAACACATAGATAAGAATAGAGAATAACATAATCCCAGTGCTTTGGGAGGCCATGGCTGGAGGATCTCTTGAGGCCAGGAGTTTGAGACCAGCCTGGGCTACACAGCGAGACCCTGTCTCTATGCCTTCCCCCCCCAAAATAGGGAACATATTGAATGTCCGGCATTAGCGTTATCAGATCTTACTGCTATGCCGTATGTACTTCAAATCTCGTTTTATTTTAAAGAATGAAACAATAAAGATTTAGCTGAGGCGCTCAGGGTGCCCTTTCCCACTCCTGGTCTCCTTCCTTGCAAAGGATAATGTCTACCCTTGTGTTAACTAGCCCATGTATGGTGTTCTCATTTGAGCTAGATATTCTACCTAAGAAATCTAAACACATACATTGTATTGGACTAATAAAAAGTTGTATGTAAATTATATATTGTGCATGACCAGCAATTGGCCTTTTCACTCAATATGATGTTTTTGAAATTTATTCAAGTTGACACATGTATAGTATTAGCAGCTGCATGGTGTTCCATTGTATATATATGTGGTTTTTTGTTTGTTTGTTTGTTTGTTTGAGATGGAATCTTGCTCTGTCGCCCAGGCTGGAGTGGAGTGGCGTGATCTCGGCTCACTGCATCCTCTGTCTCCCGGGTTCAAGTGATTCTCCTGCCTCAGCCTCCTGAGTAGCTGGGATTACAGGCACGCACCACCACAACTGGCTAATTTTTGTATTTTTAGCAGAGACGGGGTTTCACCATGTTGCTCAGGCTGGTCTCGAACTCCTGACATCATGATCTGCCCGCCTTGGCCTCCCAAAGTGCTGGGATTACAGGCATGAGCCACCGCGCCCAGCCATATGTGGTTTATTTACTTCTCCTATGGATGGACATTTCGGATTTTTCCCTCAGTTACCTACAGTGCTGCTGTGTGCATTCTTGCATATGTATTCTTTTGCACCTACATGGAAGTTCTCTGATATATTCAGAGGAGAGAGGAGGTAAACTGTCAAGTCATAAGTTGTACATGTCTTCAACTTTACAACTTATCACCAAATTGCTCTCCAAAGTGGCTGTTCCAGTTGGACATGCCCATCCTGTTTCTCCCTTGCCAATACTTGTCTTTATCAAACTTTAAATATTTGCCAATCACATGGGTGAGAAGTGCTATCTCATTGTTTTAACGAGCATCTCCCTGGTTCCTGGTGAGATTGACCATCTTTGCAAATGCCAGTTGTGTTTCCCCTTCCATGACCTAAATGTTCACATCCTTTGCCCATTTTTCCATTTGATGCATATGTTGTCCCTACTGATGTAGGGTATGGATTCTATATATATACATACATATATATATATACACACACACACACACACACACACATATATATATACACACATACATAAAAGGATCTTTTGTTGGCTATGTGCATAACGTGTTTCTCCTCCCAGTCTGTGGTTGGTCTTTTCACAGTGTTTAAAGAGTCTTTTTAAACAAAAGTTTTAACTTCAATAAAGCCAAATTTACCCCCATTCTTCTGTATTGCTTATGCTTTTTGAGTGGTTTATCTAAGAAATACAAACTCCATCTGTAATAAAAATACAAAAAAAAATTAGCCAGGCATGGTGGCACACGCCTGTAGTCCCAGTTACTCGGGAGGCTGAGGCAGGAGAATCGCTTGAACCTGGGAGGTGGAGGTTGCAGTGGGCCGAGATCATGCCACTGCACTCTAGCCTGGGCAACAGAGTGAGACTCTGTCTTGTAAAAATAAAAAAGAAGAAAAAGAAAGAAAGGAAAGGAAAGGAAAGGAAAAGAAAGATACCCTTTCTATAGCCTTCTATTTTTTATTTTTCCCTTTTTTGACTTTTGAGACAGGGTCTCACTCTGATGTCCAGGTTGGAATACAGTGGTGTGATCATGGCTCACTGCAGTCTCCAGCTCCTCACTCAAGCAATCCTCTTGCCTCGGCCTCTTGTCCTGTTGAGTAGCTAGGACTACAGGCATGCACCATCATGCCTGGCTAATTTTTATTTATTTATTTATTTTTTGTAGAGATTGGGTCTTGCTATGTTACCCAGGCTGATCTCGAACTCCTGGCCTCAAGCAATCTTTCCACCTTAGCCTCCCAAAGTGCTGGGATTGTAGGAGTGAGCCACTGTACCTGGCCTCCTTTTATATTTTTTTCTAAATATCATTCTATATGTTCTTCTAAAAGCCCATTTGTTCCATTACTCTGAAAGACAATCCAAGATACGTCAGAGTCTCTTCTTGGGAAATATGGAATGACGTCTTGCATATTGTCATGATATGTAGTGGGTGGGTAAAATCCGTGAAAGGGTGAGTATTTTGCTTTTAAAGTTCTGTGACTATGGGATGGCACTCTAAGCTTCAGCTGCAGTTGGGAAAGACTTTTGCTGTAGACCAATTTTATTGTACTTAGTCGAGTTCTAGAGGGAGCCAGGCCCAGAAAATGAGGGGGACATTTACGTCATGGAACACAGAGGAAGACTCATGAAATGGCAAGAGACCCTCCCCTCCCCTGACTTCCAATGTGACACCCGTCTTCTCTGTCCTCTCTCTTCATACTGTTGTCTTAGGTGTTCCTTGTAACCAGACTTCAAACTATCTGAAAACGTTTGTGAGAAGGAACACACAGACACGCACACTCACACACACACACACACACACACACACACACACACAGAACTGCTTTGGACTTGGATACTTCCTAGTCCTCCTGTTATTCCTATGAACGATTCCTTCTGTTCTTCTAAGTCCCTTCTACTTTATTCAGAGATTATCATCATGACTGCTCATGATGGCAGTCAGTTTATCCAGATCACAAGTCAGAAGGGTGAAATCGGCTGAAAAGAGGATGAAATGTTTTAAACGCTCAAGAATTTCCAGTCACCACAGTCCTGAGGTTCGTTGTTTCTTTTCTGTCTGAAAGCTGTAGAACTCCATGCAGGGAGCCTGTGAGCCTCGGTGGGCTGATGAAACACTCAGAAGAAAAAAGAACTTGATGGAGGCAGTTGCCTGTTTAGCAGACGGGATCTGAATGGAAGGTCTGAGGGTCTGCAGATGTCAGAGCTGTCCATGGCTTTGCCTGGTGTCTGTCTGAGCGATCTGGCCTTTGTCCCTGATGCCTAATCTGCCTGTTTGTCTCTCTGAGATAGCCACCAGGTGGTCTACTGATGATCAAAGCCCTCGATGGTGCAGACTGCTGTCACCCCTCGGCTGAGTCCCAAGATGGGGAGTTTGAGAATGCCGAGTCTTGCTGTTGCCCTTTCTGAATGGGGTGATGCCTGGTCAGATTTCAGTTTCCTGGAACATGTGTTAATGGTTCTCAGCAGAGGGTAGGGCTTTATTTACACACCTGGCTCAGTCTAGACTGCAGACCTTTCAAAGGTTTGCAGAGCGGCCGGGCGCAGTGGCTCACGCCTCTAATCTCAGCACTTTGGGAGGCCAAGGTAGGCAGATCACCTGAAGTCAGCAGTTCAAGACCAGCCTGGCCAACATGGTGAAACCCCATCTCTACAAAAATACAACAACAAAAAAAATTGCTGGGTGCGGTGGCTCATGCCTGTAACCCCGGCACTTTGGGAGGCCGAGGCGGGTGGATCACGAGGTCAGGAGTTCAATACCAACCTGGCCAAGATGGTGAAACTGTCTTTACTAAAAATACAAAAAAGCCGGGCGTGGTGGCGGGTGCCTGCAATCCCAGCTATTCAGGAGGCTGAGGCAGAGAATTGCTTGAACCCAAGAGGCGGAGATTGCAGTGAGCCGAGATCACACTACTACAGTCCAGCCTGGGTGACAGAGTAAGACTCCGTCTCAAAAAAAAAAAAAAAAATTAGCCAGGCATGATGGCAGATGCTTGTAGTCCCAGCTACTCAGGAGGCTGAGGCAGGAGAATCGCTTGAACCTGGGAGGCGGAGCTTGCCATGAGCCGAGATCGTGCCACTGCACTCCAGCCTGGGCGACAGAGCGAGACTCCGTCTCAAAAAAGAAAAAAAAAAAAAAAAAGAAAGGTTTGCAGAGTAACTTTGTGTGGCTTTCTTGATCAACTGTGGGTGGACTTAAGATTTACAGCCGAATAAAGGACTTAAAAATACAGCCCTGGAATTTTTGCCTCTTCAAATGTCCTTCTTGAAAAGAACCCCTTTCAGAAAGTTCCACTTTTTAGGTGGAGCCCCCTGAGCCAACGCTCTGCTCTTCGGAATCATTGATCTGTCTGGGGATGAGCAATGCTGTTGTCTTCATCAT
This sequence comes from Homo sapiens, assembly GCF_000001405.40. NCBI lineage: Eukaryota > Metazoa > Chordata > Mammalia > Primates > Hominidae > Homo > Homo sapiens. Next base: position 245,246,356 of record NC_000001.11, read on the forward strand.
CCTCGTCTTCAGCAGCATCAACAGCAAGGTGAATATTTAGCTGGTACACATACAGGTGGCCACACCACTCACCACCTGTTAAAATATTGAGACACTGCCACACGTGTTGGTCAAGAGCTGCTGCTCTGAGTCCCAGTCTCCCCACCACCCAGGCCCTGCCTCTGGGATCTCTGGGACCTCCCCACAAATCAGCAATGAAAGCGTTGGCACCTGACCCCACAGTGGGTCTCCAGGGCTCTGCTCAGCACTCCAGCTGGTTTATATTCTGGTAGGAAGACAGACACCCACACACCCACTCCCATAGTCATTGAGGAATCCATTCTGATTGATGCCCATGCCACAGAGTTGTTAAATATCGTGAATTTCAAGTCATCCTAAGACAAAAATCTGGGCTCTTTTCTTTGGTTAGAAGACAAAGGAATTCCAGCGTATGCAGAGCTGTGTACTGGGTTCTTTGGAGACATTATAATATATATAGATGGGCCCTGAAAGGCTTGCTTGTAAGGGCAGAACACACACACACACACACACACACACAGACACACACACACAGACACAGACACACACAGACACAGACACACACAGATACAGACACACACACACACACAGACACAGACACACACACACACAAACTTAAAAAAGCAACATGTCACCACATTGACACTGATGTAGATTGTAAGTGCAGAGGGGCCAGAGGGTAAAGATCTAGACAGATTGTTCAGAGTGTAAATCACTTAGTTTTCTGTGTTCTTAACAGTGCCTGCCACTGTGGCTGCTTAGGATTTCTTTTCTTTTTTTAATATTTAAAATTTTGGCTGGGCATGGTGGCTCGTGCCTGTAATCCCAGCACTTTGGGAGGCCAAGGCCGGTGGATCACTTGAGGTCAGGAGTTTGAGACCAGCCTGACCAACATAGTGAAATCTCATCTCTACTAAAAAAAAAAAAAAAAAAAATTAGCTGGGCGTGGTGGTGCTCACCTATAATCCCAGCTACTCGGGAGGCTGAGGCAGGAGAATCGCTTGAACCTGGGCAGGGAAGGTGGCAATCAGCCGAGATCCTGCCAATGTACCCCAGCCTGGGCGACAGAGCGAGACTGCATCTTAAAAAAAATAAAAATAAAATTTGAGATGCTTGGAGGAATAGAAAATTGGTGAATGTTTGAGGCAGGACGTGCTAACGAAGAGAAGAGGCTGACATTCTGCCCGAGAAGCAGGGCACGATGGCGTGGCAGCCCTGGGCTGTCGCTGGAGCGAGCTTGTTTATGGAAGTAAGAGGAAGTGGGCCCGAGGGATGCAGAGCAGACTTGCAGGGTCCTGAAGGCTGGAAACTAGATTTTGGGTGTATTAGGAAAATCATGAAGACATGTTGAAGAACTATCAGCCATCTCTTAAACTAGAAGGCAGGCCTTGCCCCAGAACAATTAAGTCATCTGTTTGGAGAAGAGGGAACAGAGAGGAGCCTCGTGGCCTCAACCACTATTTTATCGTGACATTCTGCAGAAATCCTGGCCATTTTTTCTTTTGCTCTCTGTACCTTTCTGAACTTCTCTGCAGGGAAGTGTTGCAGCAGATGCCCTCAGCTCACCAGAGCCCGTGTTAGCCCTGGTTCCGGTCCTCAGTCTCACTGGGTGATAAGGGAAGATGAGGGAAAACTACTTCTATCAGTCACAGCACCAACAGTGCCAACACGGCCGTGCACATCCAAATGGCTTCATTATGCTCAACAGCCTGGGTGAGTCTGAGCCTTACAGCTAAGATGCATTGCTTTTTTTTTTTCCCTCGGTGTGATAAAAATGCTGGTAGTATACTTTTATACCCCAAAATAACTGAGCACATTGAGAAAGACACGGCGACCTACTTGGGAACTTCAGCAGTATTAGCTGGAACGCTGTCTGGACAGTGGAAGGACTTTTTGCAGGGAGCTGCCGTCAGAGGACTGAGAGCCAGCGTTCAGCACGGCATCACTGAGGGCGCCTGGCATGCCTCCGCCTGCCCGTGAGAAGGCACGCTTACCTTCTAGATTTCTCACACTCCTCCAGAGTTGCATTCTGCTTCCGTAACTGTCCTAGAACAGCATTTCCTGTATGAAGATACACAGGTTTGGCCAGAGACTGAACTCTGGTTACTTCCTGAACTTGGGAACAATCCTCACCAAATCCACTAACTATTAATCATGGTCACAGACACTCTCTTGCTTTTGCATGCTCTGCTGTGATGAAGATTGTTGACGCCAAGAACTAAATCGTAATGAGCCCACGTGCTCTTCACAGCAGGCTCCGATAACACTTTGTCGCTTTTATGGTTAAACCTCCTCGTAAAATCTCTCTTTAAGCGAACACGTGATTATCCCCACGGTAGTTTAAACTGAACTTGATTTGTGAGTTTATTTCTTCTTTTCCATCTGAGATGTTTGCCAATATCTCTGACATATATTCTCCTATGGAAATAGCCAGAAAATGATGGATCGAGGAAATCAAGTGTAAATCAGTCTGTACCTCCGAGTGGAAACCAGTCAGTGGGATGTGAATATACTTAATATGTTCTGTTGTCTTGTGTATTGAAGGAGCCTTCATGGAGATTTTATATCTCTGGAGAAACTCCTGCAGGTTGCCTTTTTAGAGAGAGGTTTGAAATAAGAACAAAGAAAGTGAGTTCGCTTTAGCTGAGTAAGGCAGGGGGCAAGTGAAGCAGTGTTAGAGGAGGTAATGTGGCAGCTGTCTATAACAGGTGGAGCAAGGTGATTTTTGTGTGTTTGTTTGTTTTTGGTTTATTTTTGAGATGGAGTCTTGCTCTTTCGCCCAGGCTGGAGAGCAGTGGCATGATCTCGGCTCACTGCAACCTCTACCTCCCAGGTTCAAGCGCCTCCTGAGTAGCTGGGATTACAGGTGTGTGCCACCATGCCTGGCTAATTTTTTGTATATTTTTTAGAAGAGACAGGGTTTCACTGTGTTAGCTGGGATGGTCTCGATCTTCTGACCTTGTGATCCGCCCGCCTTGGCTTCCCAAAGTGCTGGGATTACAAGTGTGAGGCACCGCGCCCAGCCACAAGATGAGTTTTAATGGCCAAACAGAATTCCTGTTTCACAACAATTGACATTGTGTCGGCTCCCTTGTTTGTGCATATGTGTTAATCTATTTTTTTTTTTTTTTTTTTTTTGAGTCTCACCTTGTCGCCTAGGCCGGAGTGCAATGGCATGATCTTGGCTCACTGCAACCTCCACTTCCCGGGTTAATTATCCTGCCTCAGCCTCCCTAGTAGCTGGGACTACAGGTGCCCACCACCACGCCTGGCTAACTTTTGTATTTTTAGTAGAGATGGGGTTTCACCATGGTGGCCAGGCTGGTCTGGAACTCCTGAGCTCAAGTGATCTACCTTCCTAGGCCTCCCAGAGTGTTGGGATTACAGGCGTGAGCCACTGCATCAAAATGCAATTTATTTTGGATACTGAATGCACAGAACTGATCTGGGAAGCATTGCTTTGTTTTGGAGTTTGTCCAGGACAGGTTAGAATAATATTAACATTTGATCTGAAGGCAACCTTACCTAGATTATCTATAAATTGTTATACCACGAGACAGAAGAAATCCTATTTTCCCACTTAATATCTGTGTTAAAAATTATCCTCCAAATATCTATCAAATTTTAAAAATTATGAAACATATTAAAAAATTTAAATCTATAGGAAATAATATAACATGATCCGTGTAGCTTTCATGCATATTTAGCATGTTGACATACTTTCTTCAGATGTGTTTTTTAATAGAAACATTATTGTCGAAGGCTTCTTATTTCCCTCTTCTTTCCATCCTGTTGCACTTTCTTTTTCCTTAGAGATAACCAAAATTAGCCTCCTACATACTTTTATGGGTACCTACATCTCTTTGTAGGTAGGCGTATTATATATAGTAAAGTACAATACCGTATATTTTGTATGCTTTAAAATTATTTAATATGGTAAGATGCTCCACATATCAGTTGAGAACTTGACAGTTTCAAGATTTATCTATCCATTTGGTTTATTTGAACTGTGGTATAACTTTCTGATGAATGACTGTACCTTGATTTACTTAGCTTTTCTTCCTGTGATGGACACTGTTACAAGCGGTGCTATAATAAACTTGTGCAAGTAACTCTTCATACCTGTCTTGGTCATGTAATGTGCTGGCTCACAGGACACATACATAGTCTTCAGCTTAACTAGATGTTGCCAGTTTGTTCTCCAAAATGGCTTCTCTGCAAATCTCACTACCATTCCATATTTTCAGATTCTAAAATCCTGCCATCCTCAGATGAGGATAAAACGATGTTTTCTTGTTTTGAGATGGAACATCTTTTCATAGTTTTATTGACCATGGGAGTTTTCTCTTTTAAGAATTGCCTATTCATTTTCTTTGCCCGTGTTTTTTCTCATTGTATTGTCTTATTTGTGTCCATTATTGTAATTGAATTTTAGGATATTTGAATGTAAATCTTTTGTTATCGTATTGGGGGTTCCCAAGACCACTTCTAGGCTCAGTAACTCACTAGGTTGCTCAAGAGGCTCAGCCTATAGTCCTACTCACAGCAAAGACTTATTACAGTAAAAAGATATAAAGCAAAATTAGCCAGGGGAAAAGGCACAGAGGGTGGAGTCCAGAGGAAACCACGTGCAAGCTTCCAAGAGTCTTCTCCAGTCACATAGGACACACTTCGTTTCCCCAGCATCACATTATGACAACAGGTGTGAAGTGTGTCTACCAGGAAAGCTCATTAGAGACTTAGGGACCAAGGTTTTTGTTGGGGGCTGGTTATATAGGCAACCTCTCTGCCTTGCCTGTACCCAAATTCCAGATTCTCAGAAGGTAAGCAGGTGTTTAGCATAAACCACACTATTTGTACAAATATTTAGGCACAGTGAGTCACTCTTACCAGTTCTAGGAATGGTAGGAACCCTCCTGAAATCTTAAGTTCTCAGATGCCAGCCAAGAGTCAACCTTGCAGGCAGGTCTTCTAACTTTCTAATTTTAACTTTTCTCTGCACGGTTATGTTCATTTCAAATATCTTCTCCTAATCTGTGTTTATATTGTCTTTTGCTCATCCAGCAGTAATATCTGTCTTTTTCAACGCTTTATAATTTTAATATCATGCAAAAAAATCCTTGCCTACCCCATTCATAAAGGTAGCTCCTTATATCTTTCTCTAATAATTTTAACACATTCCTTTTTGTATTTAAGACTGTAACCTAACTGGAGGTTATTTTTGTGACTGGTAAAAGATATGAATCTCATTTATCATTTTTGGCATAGAAGTAGCCAGTTGTTTCTGCACTGTTTATTGAATGGTCTATCATATCCTCATGGATTTGTGATGCTTCCTCTGGCATACCAAGTTCTCCTGTTTGTGTTATCTATCTCTGAACTAAATTCCACACCATTTAATTGAGTTTATAAATCTTAATATTTAATAGCATAAATTGTCCCCTGCCTTGTCTTATTGATTCTTGGCTCTTATGACTGGCTTGTCAAGTTCTGCCAAAAATATATATATATGGTTAATATATATTAAGATTAATGTATATGAATTTTTCTGTCAGAATTGCTTGGAATTTTTAGATTAATGTAAGGATAATTTACATCTTTACAAATATCTGGTCTTGGCTTGGCCTGGTGGCTCATGCCTATAATCCCAGCACTTTGGGAGGCAGATCACTTGAGCCCAGGAGTTTGAGACCAGTCTGGGCAACGTGGTAAAAACCCGTCTCTGCTAAAAATACTACTAAAAATACAAAAAATTAGCTGGATGTGGTGGTGCGCATCTGTAGTCCCAGCTACTAGGGAGGCTGAGGTGGGAGAATCACCTGAGCCCAGGAGTTTGAGGCTGCAATGAGTCAAGATTGCACCTCTGTACTCCAGCCTGGGCAACAGGAGTGAGACCTTGTCTCAAAAAAAAAAAAAAAAAGAAAAAAGAAAATTGGTTTTCCCATATATGAACATATTATATAGCTCTTCATTCATGTATGTTTTCTTTATTACCTTTCGGTAAATGTTTATATTCTCCATAAAGACATTAACATGTTTTGTTGGAATTCTTCTTAGGTACTTTAGGGTTATTATTTGTTACTGTGAATGGATTGTTCTTTTTAAAACTTACATTTTCTAATTGATTGATTGCTGTTGACCTGTATGGGTTTTTACTATTAATGAGATATATAACAAACTGAACTCTTTTATTAAGTCTAATACCTTGTGGATCCTCTTGAATATTCCATGTAGATTATCATGTCTGCAATTATGACTCTTTTGTCATAATTGCAGATAATATGTCTGCAATTATGACTCTTTTGTCATAATTGCAGATAATATGTCTCTTTCTTTTTAATCCTAATTCCTCTTATTGACTTTTCTTGTCATATTCTTCTAGCTAGGGTCTCTAGAACCATGTTGAATAGAAGTAATGATGGTGGGAATCCTTGTCAGTTCTAAGTTTTGTAAGGGACTGCTTCTATCACTTAGCCATTAAGTATGATGTTCACTGTGTGATATGGGTACACATGCTTTATCAAGGTCAGGAAATTTTTGTCCCAGTTTGCTAATATTTTTTAAATTTCATAAATCAGAATTGAATTTTATGAAATGTTTTCTCTACATCCATTGAGGTGATAATTTTTTTCTTAATTTTTTTTTTTTTTTTTTGAGACGGAGTCTTGCTGTGTCGCTCAGGCTGGAGTGCAGTGACATGATCTCGGCTCACTGCAACTTCCACCTCCCAGGTTCAAGCAGTTCTCCTGTCTCAGCCTCCCGAGTAGCTGGGACTACAGGCGCCCACCACCAAGCCCAGCTAATTTTGTATTTTTAGTAGAGATGGGGTTTCACCATATTGGTCGGGCTGGTCTCAAACTCCTGACCTCAGGTGATCTGCCCGCCTTGGCCTCCCAAAGTGCTGGGATTACAGGTGTGAGCTACTGGGCCCTGCCTCTTAATATGTTAATGTAGGAGTTACATTAAGAGATTTTTTTAGTGTTAAATGATTTTTATATTATTTGCATCAAAGATGCTTTGGTCATTATTATTATTTTAAAATATATTGCTGGATTTGACTTGCTAACATTTCATTTGGAAGTTTCACATCTGTTTGCTAGTGAATGTGGCTTATAATTTTCTTTTCTTGCACTCCCTTCATTTAGTTTGGTTTCAGAGTGATACTAGCTTTAGGAAATAAGTTGGGGTATGTTTCCTCTTTTTCTACTCTCTGAAGAGTTTACGTAAGATTGGATTAATACAGTTTGGTAGGATTTGTCTCTAAAGGCATTTGGACATGGGGATTATTCATGTGTCAATTTTGAACTACTAACTTAATTTTTTAAAATGGTTATAGGACTTTTCAGTTTTTATATTTATTCTTAAATTATATATAGATTAAAAAATTTTGTTTTAAATTTTCCTGTCTATAGACTTTGAAGTCCTGCTTTTTTTTTTTTTTTTTTTTTTTTTTTGAAACAGAGTCTCGCTCTGCTGCGCAGGCTGGAGTGCAGTGGCGCGATCCCTGCTCACTGCCAGCTCCACCTCCCGGGTTCACGCCATTCTCCTGCCTCAGCCTCCCGAGTAGCTGGGACTACAGGCGCCCGCCACCACGCCCGGCTGATTTTTTTGTATTTTTAGTAGAGATGGGGTTTCACCGTGTTAGCCAGGATGGTCTCGATCTCCTGACCTCGTAATTTGCCCGCCTCGGCCTCCCAAAGTGCTGGGATTACAGGCGTGAGCCACTGCACCCAGCTGAAGTGCTGTTTTTTTTCTTTAACATTATGGGCATTTTCTAGATCATTCAATATTTACTGAGAAGATGACCTGTAACGCATTGACTTTAGCAGTAGTTTTTCTTTCTGATTAACTTTATTTCTAGAATTTTATTAGGTTGCATATGTCCCATGGATAGGGTGGCATAAGTGGCCGTGCTGGGCACATGGTAGACATATAGTAATTTCTGCTGGATATCGTACCCAGAACTACTCAGGCGTTGTAACTTTCCAGAGCAAAAAATTGGAATTTCCTCATGTTTTACAGGGGGAGGGTAAAGGCGATTCTATGAAAATTAACAAAGGGGGTTGGGGGAGGAGGGCTTTCCTTTTTGCTAAAGGAAAAATAACACATTCTTTTCGAATGATGACTTATTTTTGAAAGGCATCCTGGCTGAAATGATGAGCTCAGGTTTTGGGTCTGAGCAGTTCCTATTGAAAGATACTTGTGGAGATTTCCAAAAGTGCATATAAGAATGGCAGGTTCTTAGTTCTGGGGGAAGAGTGACTGGGGAGGAAATACGTCTTCCCCTTTTATTGATCTCAGTTACGTGCTATGACATCACATGTAATTTTTTGTGGAGCTGTTCTGATGCCCCACATGAGGCCCGTGTCCTTTGCTGCCAGTGCATTCCAAGAGGGCTGTACCCTGGGGGCTATGCAGGCAGCTATTCTTGTGTGGGCTTTTGCCATGCCTGTTTCAGGTTTGGAACTGTATACCTTTCAGGAGCATGGCTTATGACATAGCAATTCCATTTTCTTAACAAAAACGAACCCTATTTTTACTTTAAAAGTAAACATTCCCTCTGCTGTGGTTTGAATGTGTCCCTGAAAGTTCACATGTTGGAAACTTCATCCTCCGTAACAGTGTTAAGAGGTGAGACCTTTAAGAGGTGATTAGGTGGTGAGGACTCGCCCTCATGAATGGATTAATGTCATTATCTTGGGAATTATCTTGGGTTTCTGATAAAAAGATGAGGTTAGCCTCCTTCTCTTGCTCTCTCTTGTTCATGTGATGCCCTCCACCATGTTATGACCCAGCAAGAAGACCCTCACCAGATGTTGGCTTCTTGATCCTGGACTTCCTAGTTTCCAGAACTGCAAAGAAATGAGTTTTTGCTCTTTATAAATTACCCAGTCCAAGGTATTGTGTTATAGCAGCGCAACATGGGCCAACACACCCTCTATCCATCTCTCCACCGGCCAAAATCAACTAAGTGTCCAGCTTCATTACAGCCAGTGTCCTTTGGAGGAGAAGTCTCTGAACATTCCTGTTGAGATTCCTGATTGGAGCTGTGTGAAACCCATTTAGATTGAAATCAGAAACATGGTCAGGTTGTGAGTTTTCCTTTTGGAGAGCCCTCCCTTATTTTCACATGCTCATTCTCAAAAGCACTTTGTACATCATGTGATTTGTATGTTTTTTGCTTGGTACGATTACACAGCCCTTTACAACCCACTGCCCACACATGAGCTGACCCAGTGGCTTCGTGCTGTAAAGGCAGATCCAGAAGGCAGTGCTGCCAGGCTCTCTTACAAAAATCAGTTTGTCTTCTTTTGAGATATTCCTGTTCTGAGAGTTAAAACAAACTCTTGAAGGCAGCAGTATATTATAGATGCAAAATCTCACATAAAAACCATTTAAGAAAATCTGGGGACATGGAAATTGTTTTTTTCCCTTTAACAAGATGGTACCACTAATGTATTCTTATTTTTTTGCCCAGAGAGTAGCAATTTCTAAATTGTTAGACATGGTTCTTCTTTGGTTTCACATAACCCATTCCTTCATGGTACTTAAAGTTAGTAAATGGTTGAAATACTTCCTTGAGAAGTAGAAATGAGGAAGCATGAAGAGATTAAATGAGTCACTTAAAGCCACTGTAAGGAAGTTTTCCTTCCTTTTTATTGGTTTCTGCCTTTGGTGTTCTGCTGCTTACCCTCCCTCCTTCCTACCTGCCTTGTGCTGGAAAGGGCCGGGATTTGGGTATGCCCTTCTCAGCTGTGTGACTTCGAACAAGCTATTTGACGTCTCAAGGTCTTACATTTCTCATCTGTAAAATCTAAGATCCTTCTCTTCAAATGGCTCCCAGGTCACCCCTGCTGCAGACCAGGAATATGGCTAACATTTTGGGATTTGACATCAAATCCTGAGTTGACTTTACGTAACCTGGGTCCATGACATGTACTAGCTGCAAACAAGAAGCTGATGTGCACATTGTCTCAGGACACCTGGAAGCAAAATGTTGAATGTTAGATTTAGAAGGGACCTTCATCTTCCCTGAGTCCAACAGCCCCATCGTCCGGATGAGGAAGCTGAGGCCAAGGTTAGCCCTTGAGGGCTGCAGTGCTGAGGTCCTGTGTCCTTGCCCCTGGCCAGTGCTGCTCAGCCTTCCCCACTTTTAGGAGAGTTGGTTGACTTTTTGTAAGACCCAGGTGGGTATAAACCAACAATAACATTCTGAGCTCCCCAACCAACTGAATGGACCTCTCCTCTCCGCGAAGGGCATTCTAAAGTCAGCCTGAAATGCTAATCCAGGCGGTGATGGGAATGGGCTGTGGGACGTGCCTCCATTACAGCCTCCTCCCCTTGGAATTCAGGCACAGCTGACCAGCATTCACATTAAAATAGAGACTTCAGACTGACAAAGCGGACTCTTTGTAGCAATGAGATACCAACTTGACAGATAGCCGGCCCCAAAAGAAATAAAAGTATTTTGCCTCAAAATATATTTCTTTGATGTATTTTGAAATGTCCCTGCAAAGCTGTCTCTTGTGGGGAAAATCTACATTCTGTGGAGAATCTCCTTCCCTTCCCAGGTCTTTTTCCTGATCCAGTAGAGAATTAACTAAGAATCTGGCACTTTTTGAAGTCTGATAAGAAACATTTACCATCTATTCTCTCCAAAGCCTGCTACCTGGAGGCTTCATCTGCATAATAAGAACCTTGGTTTCCATAACCCCTTATCTTAACCCAGACACTCCCTTCTATTGATTCCAGGTCTTTAGATAAACTCAACCAATTGCCAATCAGAAAGTGTTTGAATCCACCTGTGACCAGGAACCCCCTCAGCAATCCTCTGAGTTGTCCTGCCTTTCAGGACCAAAGCAATGTACATCTTACATGTATTGATTGACCTCTTGTGTTTCCCTACAATGTATACAACCAAGCTATAGCCCGACCACTTGGGCACGCATTCTCAGGATCTCCTGGGGCTGTGTCACAGGCCACGGTCACTCATATTTGGCTCAGAATAAGTCTCTTCAAACATTTTACAGAGTTTGACTCCTTTTGTTTACATGGGATTGACAGATGATATCCCCTGCCTCGAGGGAATACGTGTGTGGGCATCTGAAATGTCATCTCAGCTCACCTCTCAATGAGTGGGAAGAGACTGGAACACTTTTCTCCATGGTCCTTGAATTTTTGTCGTTAAACGAGTTACTCTTCAGGGCCCGTCGTGTGAAAAGCTTTGCTGCACATCAGCCTGGAGGAAGGCTGGACAGGAGAAATAGCTTCCCACCAAAGCCCTCCCGTGTCTAGAAGCATCACAGTGGCCCTTGCTTAGGTGGCAGAGGACAGGGGTAGATATTTGTGATCAAGAAAGTTGGTCAGGCCGGGTGCAGTGGCTCATACCCGTAATCCCAGCACTTTGGGAGGCCAACGTGGACGAATCACTTGAGGCCAGGAGATCAAGACCAGCTTGGCCAACATGGTGAAACCCCATCTTTACTAAAAATACAAAAAGTAGCTGGGCATGGTGGCACATGCCTGTAATCCCAGCTACTCGGGAGGCTGAGGCTGGAGAATTGCTTGAACCGGGAAGGCGGAGGTTGCAGTGAGCTGAGATCATGCCACTGCACTCCAGCCTGGTGACAGAGTGAGACTCTGTCTTAAAAAAAAAAAATGTTGCTCAGAAGCTTCTCGATCTTGTCACATTCTCCGGTGGTGAGTTGAGAGCAGCCCAGGCCTGGGGTCCTAGGGAGCTTGACGTGGCTACTGTTCTAGACAGTGCTGAGTTTGTCATCACCTTGCTTTCATTATGATTTCCTCCTCCTCGTCACCACCTACGGTGTTTATGGAGTTCGCTGTACATGAAGCCCCAGCGTCCAGAGGTGTAAGACAGAGCCCCTTCTAGGAGCTGCTGTCCATCCCACTGAAAGGCAGGTCTGACACAGAAGAGACAAACAACCATACTGGGCCTCTGGGGCCCCGTGAGATGTGAACTTCAGGTACCAGAGTGCATGCGGGAGGAGGCCTGGGTGCCCTGGGGACCCAAAGCAGGAGCTCATTTCTGACCTGCCTCTCTCACCAAGCTTCCTTTGCTGAATGCCGTGGGCAAACAGTGGTGTTGGTATTGGAGCAGGATCAAAGCTCATTCCTGGCTAACCTGCAAAAATGAGCAGGTAAACAAATGGGATCCATAAAATAGAGACTAAAATGAAAGTTTGTCTTACTGTGATTAGCAACTGGCCCCTTTCCAAATTCCACCTGCTCTGCGTGGAGCTGTGGCGTCTCATTCCAAGAGCCTTCTCACAGCATCTGACCCGGGCCTGGGGTAACAGTACACTGGGGTTTGCCAAGGATAACCATAGCAAGGCAGCTACAGGAGCACAGCATGGTGGGGGGGCATGAAATCAGAACAAGCAGGACCCACGGGCGGGGGTGAGAGCAAGTGGCTGGGAGGCAGAGGCAGAAGTGATGGCTGCTGACTCACCGTGTGTCTGCCAGGTTGCTTAACCCATCTCCGCTCCGGTTTTCCCATGCGTGAGCCCTCTGCAGTGTGTGGCATGCTGATCGGCCTCTGGCATGAAGAGTAAAAGCAAGGCCACATAAAAATCACAGGTGCCCCTCGCTTCGTGCAACATGTGTGCCAGTCCAGTTTCTGCAACAGCCCCCCAGGCGCTGAGCCTGCTCCATGGGTTGGGAGATGTTAGACCTCAAGCTGTGCCCCTAGCTGGGTGGGTATGGGAAGTTACATGGCAGTGCTGGCTGCATTCTGCTTATCACTGAAAGAAGTGGCTTTGGAATGGGTGATTTCTTAAGGTGTTTCCCCACTCAGTTCTTCTGTTCATTTTTGTACATTATTATCTCTTCATTGTTGTACATTTGTTGGAGCTTAGCCCCAACAGTGCCTGCCTAGGTGGTGCGGACTGAGGAATAGAGATGGAGTAATCATGATATCCAATGTCTTATCTCACTGGCCTCCCCGCCCCACCACATCCCTTCCCATTGGACGGTGAGGACTGAGGCTCCATCGCTGAAATGCACACGTGTTACCAGGCAGGGTTGTGAGGGCCAGTTCAATGAACATAAATACCCTTGTCAGATCAGTTGTCATGATTCTAGAGAATAAGGCCGGAGGAAGTGAGCATGCTGATACTAAAGAACAGGGGAGAGAATACTGGGTTTGGTTGTGCCTGGTCACTAAAAGCAAACTTCACCCACTGAGAACCTGCTAGTCAACCTCCTATGATGTTCAGAAGCCTCTTGAATGTTGATAATTAATGGACAGGGTGAGCTTGGCCAGGCAGGCTGGCTCATGCCTGCAGTCCCAGCACTTTGGGAGGTCAAGGTGGGCAGATCGCTTGAGCTCAGGAGTTCAAGACCAGGCTGGGCCACATGGCAAAATGCTGTCTCTGGAAAAAATACAAAAAAAATTAGCCAGATATGGTGGCATGCACCTGTAGTCCCAGCTCCTTGGGAGGGTGAGGCAGCAGGATTGCTTAGGCCCAGGAGGTCAAGGCTGCAGTGAGACAAGATTGCACTGCTGCACCCCAGCATGAGTGACAGAGCGAGGTCCTGTCTCAAAAAAAAAAAAAAAAAAAAAAAGGTGAGCTTTTCTCTACTGAGTTTCTTGAAGTGTGGCACAACTGAGGCATAGCATAGTGGGACAGGATGCTGTTCATTTATCTGAGAGGTGAAAGGATGTACCTCCTGCTGCTTTTTTGGTGGGATGGGGTCGGAGGAGAGCCTGATGAGCCAGGCAAGGAGAGGAGGTAACAGAACACTGGTGGAGTTGATGGTGAGAAGCTGGACTCTCTCAGTGGGCTGTTTGCCTGCCCCTCCCTTCATTTCCCATAGGCTTCGGTAGAAGCGTGGCCTGCAGAATCAGGAAACAGTGCTGGTTAATCTGTAAGTATGCAACATTCTTGGGCCTTTCTGTCACTGAAGAGCATAATGTAATTCAGGCCAGTGCAGTACTGAGATATGGAGTGTGGCCAGCACCCATGGCAGGTGCTTGGAGGTTTATCCTAGTCTTTCTGCTAACTTCCTGGCCCAAGTGCAGGTCACTTACCTTTTCTGGGATTCAGGTACCTGTAAGAAGAGAAGTGAGTGTGTTGGACTCCCTCTAGGGAACTGGAAGGAATAAGCAATAAGTATACTTTGACATTTTATAAATAGAACATGTTTAATACATGCATTTCAACGAGGCCTATAGGATTAACAACTTTGGAGGCATGTGTACCGGTTTGCGGTCAGTGCTCACACCACCTGGTGGAATTTCCTTCCTTTGACTGGCAGGAAGAGGGAAGTACTTCTCACACATCTGTTACCTTCTGCCAAGTGTAAATGTCATGCTGGCATCTGTGTCTTAATTGTATTGGCATTCCCTTGTACTGGGCCTGGATGGGGTGGGTGCTCAACCCACACAGACAGAACCAAGCTCCCGACTGCAGACACACATCATTAAGTTTCTGGACTTCAGCCACAGTATCTTTGTTATTAGATTATTAACTCAATAGCCTTCTTGTCTTTTAGCCTAGGACTCTGGACATAGCTCTCTGTAGATGCTTATTGATGACTGATTGGCTAACAGATGCAATCACAGAGTCACAGATGTCAACTCTTGCCTGTCCTTCCTTCCTTTCCTTCCCTTCCTTCCCTCCTTCCTTCCTCTCTGTCTTTCTTTCTTTTCTTTCTCTCTCTCTCTCTCCTTCCTTCCTTCCCTCCCTCTCTCCCTGCTTCCTTCCTTCCTTCCTTCCTCCGTTCCTTCCTTCCTTCCTCTTTCTCTCTTTCTTTCTTTCTTTTCTTTTTTGATGGAGTTTCACTCTTGTTGCCCAGGCTGGAGTGCAATGGTGCAATCTCGGCTCACCGCAACCTCCGTCTCTCAGGTTCAAGCAGTTCTCCTGCCTCAGCCTCCCGAGTAGCTGGGATTACAGGCCTGGCTAATTTTGTATTTTTAGTAGAGACAGGGTTTCTCCATGTTGGTCAGGCTGGTCTCGAACTCCCGACCTCAGGTGATCCGCCCACCTTGGCCTCCCAAAGTGCTGGGATTAGAGGCATGAGCCACCGCGCCCAGCTTGTTCGCGCTCGCTTGCTTGCTTGCTTTTTCTTTCTTTCTCTCTCTCTCTCTCTCTCTCTCTCTCTCTCTCTCCCTCCCTCCCTCCCTCCCTCTCTCTCCCTCTCTCCCCCTCTCTCCCTCCCTCCGTCTGTCCCTCTCTTTCTCTCGTTCTCTCTTTTCTTTCTTTCTCTCAAGACAGGGTCTAGCTGTGTTGCCCAGGCTGGAATGCAATGGCGTGATCATAGCTTACTGCAGCCTCTGCCTCCTGGGCTCAAGTGATCCTCCCACCTCAGCCTCTCTATAGCTAGGACTACAGGCATGCGCCACCATGCCTGGCTAGTTTTTGTATTTTTTGTAGCGACAGGGTTTTGCCATGTGCCCAGGCTGGCCTCAGATTCCTGGGCTCAAGCAATCTACCCACCTTGGCCTCTCAAAGTACTGGGGTTATAGACGTGCGCCACCATGCCCGGCTCAACCCTTGTATTTCTTGATGGTTTTCACATGCAGAAGCCCAAAATCTGGGAGATACCGATGGCCCCTGGATCCAACACTAGAGTTATTTCTCTCCACAGCAGTTTGCCTCATGCTCCTTTGGTCACTGATAAGTGTTGTTAACATTTTTCAAATATCCTGTCTGCACTGAGGTGTGACGAGCACATTATTACCTCTGATTCCCATGCTGACACACAGATCGGGCATGTCTTTGTGTTTGTCTTTGGAGAGCCTTATTTTTCTCATGTGATATATACACCGAAATACACAGGAATCATTATTGTACAGAACATAGGAGACAGCCACTATGAAAGCAACTGTCCGGCTGATGGAAGAAAAGTTCAGGGGCTTCTCATTTTGATTACCTGTGATTTTGCTTTGCATACAATTTTATTTCCTTGGTGAGAGCTGCTTCTTCCTTGCTGACTTTTAAGAGACATTGGAAGACATGGGGCGGGTCTTCTGAACATCTACCTGTGCGTCACTTTTTAATTTCTTTTCCAGGTAGAGTCTGCAGTGAGGGAATGAGTTCTTTTTTTGTTTATTTGTTTGTTTTTTATTTTTTTTTGAGATGGAGTTTCGCTATTGTTGCTCTGGCTGGAGTGCAATGGCGCGATCTTGGCTCACTGCAACCCACACCTTCTGGGGTTCAAGCGATTCTCCTGCCTCAGGCTCCCGAATAGCTGGGATTACAGGCATGCACCTCCACGCCTGGCTAACTTTTGTATTTTCAGGAGGGACGTGGTTTCTCCATGTTGGCCAGGCTGGTCTCAAACTCCCGACTTCAAGTGATCCTCCCACCTCGGCCTCCCAAAGTGCTGGGATTACAGGCGTGAGCCACTGCGCCTGGCCAGGAATGAGTTCTTAATGAGAGACTCTTGAGTCTTTCTCTGGAAGTAGAATGGAATTTTTAGAAGGATGAAAGACAGATGTTCATTTCACAGAGCAGGCTGCTCTATTCACATGCAGCCTCAACACCAGTGACATTCCAACCAGTGTTTAGGGTTTAGTTAGGGAGAGAACTTCATCCCCATTAGTTCATATGTGTGTATGTTAAAGCACTTAGAACCATACCTGGCACATAAGAAAAATTCTGTAAGTATTCATTGTTCTTGTTATTACCATCATCCTTGTAATTCAGTGATTCATGGCGGGGTGCAGTCAAGGAGTGTCATGACAAGCGAACTTCAGAAGACTGCATCAGACTTACAGGTCACTGCTTTTGTAGCCCCAGTACGGTAGGAGAAACATCCACTGGGAGGTGGGTCCCTCGTTAGCCCTGAAGAGTGGATTGCTGATGCCTTCTGCTTCACCCTCTGCTTGTGCTCCTTCTTCCAAGCTGTTAATTTCTCTGAAATCTTGTGTTTCTTTACGCAGGGGTTCACATCCTGATTGCTTGTTCCACTCGGAAGGGAAGGCAGAGGGCTTGCATCTGAAGCCATGCCTCCTTCATCAGTGCTGTATCGAGCTCTAGGTTTGGGTTCTTGGCACTTCGGTGCTTCCCTTCTCACTCAGTAGTCATAATGTTAGCACGGTTGATGCATTGACACGCTCTAGTGAGCAGTTTGCAGGCATCTATCATGAACTGTTCAAAGAGATACGCAGATACATCTCACAAACACTGATGGAATACTTAGTATGTGCTAGGAGGGCACTAGGGAGAGAAAGATGAAAGGCAGCGCCTGCTGTTGATTTCATTTGCATCTTGCCCTCAGGACTCAGGTTAATTGGTCTAGGAGCTTATAGACTATTAGGCTTCCTAGACCCCTTGGGAGACATGGGACTTGCCAGACCCATTTCCCCAAAAAAGGTAAGCACTGTGGAGGATTCTTCTCCTAGAGTCTAGCATCCATCATTTCACCAGTGTGGCTGATTCCAAAAAATGCATTTTGACAAGAAGAGAAACACAGTTAGTTAACAGACGTCAGAATGTGAAATAACTTTGGCTGATTGGAGGAGTTAACCGGTTCTTTTGTCATCTTGTGGTCCGTTCTGTGTGTGTCTGCTTAGCTTTCTCACGCTGAGCCTTTTCCCTCAGGATCTTCAGCAGTTTTTTCCAGTATGTAGATGATTCAACTCACAGATGGCAGCTTCTAAGTTATTATGCCACTGATTAAAGAATTGTTAAGGCAGACTTATTTCTCTAAATACAAACACATGCAAAACTGAGATTTTGACCAAAACTTTGCTAGACACAATAGTGTATTGTTTCTCTCTTCAAAGTGTGTTCCATGATAGACTTGTGTTTTATAAAACAGCAGTGCTTGGCATGTATATTACGAGGTCTATCACCAAAGAATTCTAAGCTCTTTTTAAAAAGACATTTTTAAGGTAAATGACCATTTAAAAAAGATACTCCGTCTCTTCTATTTTTTTCCTTTCTTATATCTTCAGCAACATCCTAAATGTGACAATGTACGTAAAACACTACTGCATAGAGTGAATGTTCACTAATGCTGATGACTGTCTTTATTGGTATCTCTAATAGTTGGATTTGTGGTTAAACATATATGCTTCTTGCCCCAAATGACTACATCTTTGTTTTCTGTTCGGGCAAACAGAGAACTGGAGTTCACTGTGATCTCTTCACTGTTAACACTATTTAAGTGTTATTCAAAGAAAATGGAAACTTTTGGTCTCAGTGTCATGCCAACTTGTTCTAGATTATTGTTCTTAAAAAAAAAACAAAACAAAAAAAAACAGAGCCCCAGGCTGGATGCCGTGGCTCACGCCTGTAATCCCAGCACTTTGGGAGGCTGAGACAGGCAGATCACAAGGTCAGGAGATCGAGACCGTCCTGGCTAACAAGGTGAAACCCCGTTTCTACTAAAAATACAAAAAATAGCCAGGTGTGGTGGCGGGCTCCTGTAGTCCCAGCTACTCTAGAGGCTGACGTAGGAGAATGGTGTGAACCCAGGAGGCAGAGTTTGCAGAGAGCCGAGATCGAGCGACTGCACTCCAGCCTGGGGGACAGAGCGAGACTCCGTCTCAAAAAAAACAAAAAAAAAGAGCCCTGGCCAGGCACGGTGGCTCACGCCTGTAATCCCAGCACTTTGGGAGGCCGAGGCGGGCAGATCACAAGGTCAGGAGATCGAGACCATCCTGGCTAACACGGTGAAACCCCGTCTCTACTAAAAATACAAAAAAAAATTAGCCAGGCGTGGTGGCTGGCGCCTGTAGTCCCAGGTACTCGGGAGGCTGAGGCAGGAGAATGGTGTGAACCCGGGAGGCGGAGCTGGCAGTGAGTGGAGATCTTGCCACTGCATTCCAGTCTGGGTGACACAGTGAGACTCCATCTCAAAAAAAAAAAAAAAAAAAAAAGTTGAGAAATACGGAGAGACTTATTATGAAGCAATAAATAGTTATGACACGATGTTATTAACACTGGGAGAAACAAATAGACCGATGGAACAAAATAGATAGCTAGAAATAGACTTCTACGTAAGGAAACTTGGTTATGCAGATAAACATTGTGGACAAGTGGGAGAAGGAAGGATTATTCAATAAATAGTGCTGAGACAACTTAAAAATCATATTTTCAAGAGGTTGCAATGAAGGTCCTCACATATCCTATATACAAAAAATTAGTTTGAAGTAGACCAAATACATCAATGTGAAAAGCAAATTCTAAACAGTTTAGGGAAGAATATAGGAAGATATTTTCATGAGTGGTGTAGAGAATGACTTTTTTTTTTTTTTTTTAAAGACAGGGTCTCACTCTGTCACCCAGGCTGGAGTGTAGTGGCGTGATCAGCGCTCACTGCAGCCGTGACCTCCCAGGCTCAAATCGTCCTCCCAAGTGATCCTCCCACCTCAGCTAGGACTGAGACTAGCTGGGGCTGCAGGCACACACCACCACACCTGGCTGATTTCTTTTGTATTTTATACAGAGATGGGGTTTTGCCATGTTGCTCAAGCTGGTTTCGAACTCCTGAGCTCAAGCCGTCTGCCTGCCTTAGTCTCCCAAAGTGCTAGGATTACAGGCATGAGCCACCCTGCCCGACCCAAGAATGACTTTTTAAAGCATAAGCAAAAAGCATAAACCATGAATTAATGATTGCTAAATTTGACTGTATTAAACAAAGAATATCAGTTTATCAAAAGACACCATAAAGTAAAAGAGATCCACAAACTTAGAGAAGTTATTTGCAATATATATAACTGAAAAAGGATTTGTATTTAGAGTATGTAAAGAACTATTAAATAAGAAAAAGATACTCAAAAGAAAATGGGCAAAGGACTTGAACAGGGATTTTAGAGAAAATAGGAATAGTTAATAAACCTATGAAAAGGTACCTAATCATCAGAATTTAGGAACCCCAAATTAAAGCCATAATGATATACCATTTGATACCAACCAGACTGGTGAAAATATGAGTCTGATAATATTAAGTGCTGACAAGGGATATTGGTCAGTGGAAATTCTCATACACAGCTGGCAGGACTGTAATTTGGCACAACTTTTGAAAGCAATTTATTCTTACCTCTATTACCACACAGTTCTGCCATTCCACTCCCAGGAACAGACCCTGGTGGAAAGAGAATAAGCTTTGGAGTCAGTCCAGGATTTGAATCCATCTTTTACCATTTTCTTTTCTTTCTTTCTTTCTTTCTTTTTTTTTTTGAGATGGAGTCTCATTCTGTCACCCACGCGGAGTGCAGTGGCGCAATCTTGGCTCACTGCAACCTCCGCTTCCCGGGTTCAAGCAATTCCCTGCTTCAGCCTCCCGATTAGCTGGGACTACAGGCGCCTACCACCACGCCCGGCTAATTTTTGTATTTTTAGTAGGGACGGGGTTTCACCATCTTGGTCAGCCTGGTCTTGAACTCCTGACCTTGTGATCCACCTGCCTTGGCCTCCCAAAGTGCTGGGATTACAGATGTGAGCCACTGTGCCTGGCCTGTTTTACCATTTTCTAATTGTGTGCCCCTGAGCCTATGACTTTCTCAGTTCCCTTATCTGTACAGTGAGAGAATGTTGTGTTTAGTAACTGAAAATTCATGGCATATAGTAAACCTCACTAAATGCAGACACTTTTATTAACATGTGACTGAAGGGCAGGCCCCCTGTGGGCCTGGTCTTATCCTTATCCTTTTTAGTATATGCACTTCTTCTCCACAGTGCATATGCTAATACTAGGTATTCAAGAAAGCAAGGTTTGATTTGGATTTGCAGTGTCTCCCCTAAATGCTCAGCTCCTGCTATATGCATTTCATTCTGCACAAACCTCCTCGCCGCCTGCCACATCTAAGCTATGATACAAATATTCTTCACGTGTGAAATTCCTTGCTCACTGCTTTTACCTCACTGTGGCCATCTTCTCTACTAAGAAAGTCAGCTGTGGTATCAACACACAAGAATGTGTGCAGCTGGTAGTGTATACATTCAGAATAACAAAGGTTATTACACTGAAAGGATGTGTTTTTTCTTTATTACTGGGCATCTTAATTGCTTCTTGGATGTTACAAGCCCAGCATTGCGAAGTACACCGTAGAGCAGAGGACTAATCTGTGGATTGAGTTGAGGCACAACCCTGTGAGTGCCCTTTCTCAGTGCAGCAGTCTCAGAGGTAATTTTACTCTTTTCTGAAATCTCATTTCTTATTTTGGTGTGTGCAGAAAAGCTCAACTGGAGTTACCTGCAAATGCAGGCATATGTGATAGCTCTGCTCAGCCACGTATTAAGCCACAAGCAGCCAAGAACAGATACTACTGGCGACAGCTAAGTAATGCACACACACACACACACACACACACACACACACACACACACACACACACAAAAGGAGAAAAGTGATAAAGAAGCAAGAATTCCAAGTGAGTTACAAACTCCAAGGACTTGGAACATATTCTGAGGAATTCTTAAATTGAGGCTTACGAGTGAGAATATATAATGTGTCTCCTTAAACGTTTTGGGGTGACAGATATTTCTGGGTTGTGGGTGATATTTTTAGGGAGCTTTAAAGAATGAATTCAGGAGACTTGCAGCCTGATGCTGGTTGTCTGGGTATTTTGGGACATTTCTTATAGCCCAGCTTTTTATTGCTCAACACAGATTTAGAAGCTTGTCCTAATCACCAGGAAGATCCTTAAAGACTGGCAATAAAGACAGGAATTTCAGGAGCCAGGCACAGTGCCTCATGCCTATAATCCTAGCACTTCGGGACATGGGGGTGGAAGGATCACGTGAACCCAGGAGGTTGAGGCTGCAGTGAGCCATGATTGCACCACTGCACTCTAGGCTGGGTGACACAGCAGGACCCCGTCTGTAAAGAAATAATAACAGGCCTGGCGCGGTGGCTCATGCCTGTAATCCCAGCACTTTGGGAAGCCGGGCCAGGTGGATCACAAGGTCAGGAGATCGAGACCATCCTGGCTAACACAGTGAAACCCCATCTCTACTAAAAAATACAAAAAAAATTAGCCAGGCATGGTGGCACACGCCTGTAGTCCCAGCTACTCAGGAGGCTGAGGCAGAATTACTTGAACCCAGGGGGCAGATGTTGCAGTGAGCCGAGATCACACCACTGGACTCCAGCCTGGGTGATGGAGCGAGACTCCATCTCCAAATAATAATAATAATAATAATAATAATAATAATAATAATAATAATAAAGTTTTTTTTTTAAAAATTGGGATTTTAGACCAATGTGAGGGAAGTTAGCAGCATGGCCCTGAGAAGCCATGTTTCCAGAGTGCACTGTTAGGACTGCTGAAACAGTTTAAGTACAGACATACAAGTCAGCACACAGGAAGCAGAGCCCGGGAGGATTAGACCTGACATTTGAACCAGTCCGAGCCCCTCTGTCTAGGTATCTCCTCCAATCCTCCAGTCATCCCTGGTTAAATATTTTGATTTCTTTTGTTAATACTGTATAATAATTCTAAATCTTTCTGAGCCAACATTAAGGTGACCAAACATCCTGGTTTGCATGGGACACAGGACTTTCAGTGCTAAAACTGGGACAGTTCTGAGCAAACTGGGATGCTTGGTCCTAGCGGACAACTGCTTTGTGTGTCTGGTACAGGTGAGCCACAGCTGTGTATACATGTGTAGTGGGTTGAATAGGGACCCACCAAAAAAGGTGTGTCCACCTAGAATCTCAGAATGTGATCTGATTTGGAATAAAGGTCTTTTTTATAACAATGACAACAACAAAATCTACCCTTTCAACTAATTTTAAAGTGTACAATACAATATTGTTAATTATATGGACACTGTTGTACAATAGATCTCTAGAAATTTTTCATCTTCCATAACCAAAATGCTGCTCCCACCGAACGGCTCCTCTCCCCCTCCTCCTCCCACCCAACGGCCCCTCTCCCCCTCCTCCTCCCACCGAACGGCCCCTCTCCCCCTCCTCCTCCCACCCAACGGCCCCTCTCCCCCTCCTCCCTGCTCTGTGGCTGCCACCATTCTACTTTCTGCTGCTTTGATTTTGACTACATTAGCTACCTCATCTAAATAGAATCACACAGTATTTGTATTCTGGGACTGGCTTATTTCACTTAGTATAATGGCCTCAAGGTTCATTCATATTGTAGTGACAGGATTTCCTTTTTTTGTTTTTTGTTTTTTTGAGACGGAGGTTAGCTCTGTCGCCCAGGCTGGAGTGCAGTGGTGTGATCTTGGCTCACTACAACCTCCACCTCCTGGGTTCAAGTGATTCTCCTGCTTCAGCCTCCCGAGTAGCTGGAATTATAGGCGCCTGCCACCACGCCAAGCTAATTTTTGTATTTTTAGTAGAGATGGGGTTTCACTGTGTTGGCCAGGCTGATCTCGAACTCCTGATCTAGTGATCCATCCACCTTGGCCTCCCAAAGTGCTGGGATTACAAGCGTGAGCCACCGCACCTGCCCCCACCCCCTGCCACCTTTTTTTTTAAAGGCTGAATAATATTCCGTTGTCTGTATAGACCACATTTTCTTTATCCACTCATCCATCAGTGGATGTTCAGGTTGTTCCCACTGTTTTGCTATCGTGAACAGTGATGCAGCGAACATGGGAATGCAAATATTTCTTTGAGATTCTGTTTTCAATTCTATTGAATAAATACCCAGAGGTGGGGTTGCTAGATCACATGGTAGTTCTGTTTTTAATTTTCTGAGGAAACTCCATTCTGTTTTGCATAGCAGCAGCATTATATATTCTCATCAACAGTGAACAAGGATTTCAGTTTCTCCACATCCTAATCAACACTTACTTTCTGCTGTTCTTTTTTCTTCTTCCTTCTTTCCTTCCCTTCCTTCTTCCTTTCTCTTCCCTCCCTTCTTCCCTTCCATTCCTTCTTCTTTTCCCTTCCCTTTCTTCTTCCCTTCCTTCTTCCTTTCCCTTTCCTTTCTTCTTCCCTTCCTTCTTCCTTTCCCTTCCTTTCCTTCTTTCCTTCCCTTCCCTTCCATCTTCCCTTCCCCTCCTTCACTTCCTTTTTCCTTTCCCTTCCCTTCCTCCTTCCCTTCCCTTCCCTTTTTCTTTCCCTTCCTTCTTTGTTTCCCTTTCCTTTTTCCTTCCCTTTCCCTTTCCTTTCCTTTCTTTTTGTGTTTCTATAATCATGGCCATCCTAACAGGCATGGGGTGATACTTCATTGTGGTTTTGATTTGCATTTCTCTGACATTTGTGATATTGAGCATCTTTTCATATACCTGCTTGTCATTTGTATGTTTTCCTTACAGAAAGGTCTATTTAGGTCCTTTCCTTTATGTATTTTAAAAATTGGTTTATTTGCTTTTGCTATTGAGTTGTAGGAATTCCTTGTATATTTTAGATATCAATCTCTTTTCAGATAGATGGTTTGCATGTATTTTCTCCCACTGCACAGGTTACCTTTTCACTCTGTTGATGCTTTCCTTTGCTATTCAGAAGGTTTTTCGTTTGATATAATCTCACTTGTCTATTTTTGCTTTTGTTGGCATATCCAAGAAATCATTGCCAAGACCAATGTTTTGAAACTTTCCCCCTATGTTTTCTTCTAGGAGGTTTGTAGTTTCAGGTCTACATTTAAGTCCTTTAATCCATTTTGAGTTGAGGTTTATGTATGCGTAAGATAAGGATCCAATGCTTCTTTTGCATGTGGGTATCTAGTTTTCCTAGCACCACTTTGTGAGACAATCCTTTCCCCACTGTGTTGTCTTGGCACCCTTGCTGAAGATCATTTCTCTGTGTATATGTGGGTTTACTTCTGATCTCTCTATTCTGCTCCACTGGTCTGTGTGTCTGTCTTTATGCCAATGTCATACTGTTTTGATTACAGTAGCTTTGTAAGATGTTTCGAGATCAGAAAGTGTGAAAATTCTAGCTTTGTTCTTTTTTCTTCAGATTGTTTTGGCTATTCAGGGTCCTTTGTGGTTGGTTCCATGTGAATTTTAGGACTGTTTTTTTCTATTCTTCAAAAAATGCCATTGGGAATTTGCTAGGAATTTCATTAAATCTATGACTCACTTCAGGTACTATGGACATTTTAACAATATTAAGTCTTGTAATCCATGTACATAGGATGTTGAATTTTCATATATGGACTTTATTATGTTGACTTTTTATATATGGACTTTATTAAGTCTTGTAATCCATGTACATAGGATGTTGACTTTTCATATATGGACTTTATTATGTTGAGGCAATTTCCTTTTTTTCCTGGTTTCTTGCAGTTCTTATAATGAAAGGATGTTGAATTCAGTCAAATGCTTTTTTTTTTTTTTTACATATTTTGAGATGATCATATTATTTTTATCTTTCAGTCTTTTAATGTGATGTACCACATTGATTGACTTTTGTATATTGAACCATCTTTGCATCTCTGGGATAAATCCCACTTGACCATAATATATTATCTTTTTAATGTCCTTTTGATTCAGTTTTGTATTTTGTTGAAAATTTGTGTATCTGTATTCATCAGGGATATTGGGCTGTATGTAGTTTTCTTTTCTTGTAGTGTCTTTGACTTTGTTATCACTATAATGCTAGCCTCAAAAAACAAGTTTGGAAGTGTTCCCTTCTCTTCATTTTTTAAGGAGAGTTTGAGAAGGATTGGCATTAATTCTTTAAATATTTGGTAGAGTTCTCCAGTGAAACCACCTTGTCTTAGACTTTTCTTTTTGGGAGATTTTTGGTTACTGATTCAATCCCATTTCTAGTAAAAGATCTGTTCAGATTTTCTGTTTCATCATGATTCAGTCTTGGTAGTTTGTATATCTCTAGGAATTTATCCATTTCTTCTAGGTTATCTAATTTGTTGGTATATAATTGTTCACTGTGGTCTTTTATTAATACTTTTTATTCTGTGGCATCAGTTGTAATGCCCCCTCTTTTATTTCTGATTTTATTTATTTGGACCTTTTCTCCTTTTTTCTTAGTTAGTCTGCCTAAGAGTTTGTCAATTTTTGCCAGGTACAGTGGTGTGTGCCTGTAGTTCCAGCTATTTGGGATGCTGAAGCAGAAGGATCACTTGAGCTCAGAAGTTCAAGACCAGCCTAGGCAACATAGCAAGACCCGCCCCCTTCATCTCTTTAAAAAACAAACAAACAAAAAACAGATCATTAATTTTGTTTTTCTTTTAAAAAAATCAAGTCTTGGTTTGGTTGTTTCTTTTTTCTATTGTTTTTATATTTTCTATTTCATTTCTTTCAATTATAATCTTTATTATAATTTCCTTCCATCTGCTAACTTTGGCTTAGTTTGTTTTTTTCTTTTTCTAGTTTCTTCAGTTATAAAGTTGGGTTGTTTATTTGAGATCTTTATTCTTTTTTAACATAGGTGTTTACTACTATAAACTTCTCTCCTAGTATTGTTTTTGCTACAGCTCACAGGTTTTGGTGTGTTGTATTTTCATTTTTGTTTGTCTCAAGGTATTTTCTAAATTCCCCAGTGATTGTTTTCTTTGACTCAGTGGTTAAGAGTGAATTGTTTCGTTTTCACATATTTGTGAATTTTCCAGGTTTTCTTCTGCTATTGATTTTCAGTTTCATTCCATTGTGGTTGAAAAAAATGTGGTATGATTTTAAACTTCTTAAATCTGTTAAGTCTTGTTTTGTGCCTTAACATGTGACGTATCCTGGAGAATGTTCTGTGTGTACTTGAAACGAATGTGTATTCTGCTGCTTTTGGGTGAAATGTTTTATAAATGTCTGTTGGGTCCCTCGATCTGTAGTGTTCTTCAAGTCCTCTGTTTTTTTTTTATTAGCCTTTTGTTTGGCTGACATACTGTACTCTATACATTATTGAAAGTGGGATATTGAGCCAGGCACAGTGGCTAACACCTGTAATCCCAGCACTTTGGGAGGCCGAGGTGGGCGGATCACTTGAGGTCAGGAGTTTGAGACCAGCATGGGCAACATGGTGAAACCCTGTCTCTACTTAAAAAAAATACAAAAATTAGCTGGATGTTGTGGCACATGCCAGTCATCTCAGCTACTTGGGAGGCTGAGGCCAGAGAATCGCTTGAACCCAGGCAGCAGAGTTTGCAGTGAGCCGAGATAGTGCCATGGCACTCCTGCCTGGGGAACAGAGCGAGACTTATCTCAAAAAAAAAAAAAAAAAAAAAAAAACCCCAAAAAACAAAAGTGGGATATTGAAATCTCCTACTATTGTTGTGTTGCTTCCTATTTCTCTTTTCAATTCTGTCCATGTTTTATATCTTTGGGTCTCTGATGTTGGCTACATGCATATTTATAATTGTTGTATCTTCCTGGTAAATTCACTCTTTTATCATTAAATAATGTTGTTTCTGGTTTCTTGTGGCAGTTTTTGTCTTAAAGTCTATTTTGTGTGATATAAGTATGGTCATCCCTGCTGTCTTTTGGTTACCATTTACGTAGACTACCTCTCTTTACCCTTTCATTTTCAGCCTATGTGTGTTTTTAAATCCAAAATGAGTCCCTTGTAGACAGCATATAGCTGAAGCTTGTTTTTAAAATCCATTTAGCTACTGTATGTCTTCTGATTGAGGGATTTAATTCACTTACATGAAAAGTCATTACTGATAGGCAAGGACTTACTATTGCCATTTTGCTCATTGTTTTTATCTACCTTGTAGCTCTTTTGTCCCTCTCACTGTCTTCCTTTTTGTTTCCCTCATTTTTCTTCTAGCAATGTTCTTTGATTACTTTTTCATTTTCTGTTGTGTATCGCCTATAGATATTTTCTTTGTGGTTAACATGGGGATTACATAAAACATTTTATAGTTATATTAATCTGTTCTAAGCTGACAACAACTTCAGTCACATACAAAATCTATATGCTTTTCTGCACACTTTGTTATTGATGTCACAAATTCATGTTTTTATGTTGTGTATCCATTAACATATTTTACATAATTATTTTTTATACTTTTGTCTTTTTTTAATTATACTTTAAGTTCTGGGATACATGTGCAGAACCTGCAGGTTTGTTTCATAGGTATACACATGCCATGGTGGTTTGCTGCACCCATCGATCCATCATCTACATTAGGTATTTATCCTAATGCTATCCCTCCCCTAGCCCCCCACCCCACAACAGGCCCCGGTGTGTGATGTTCCCCTCCCTGTGTCCATATATCCTCATTATTCAACTCCCACTTATGAGTGAGAACATGCGGTGTTTGGTTTTCTGTTCTTGTGTTAGTTTGCTGAGAATGATGGTTTCCAGCTTCATCCATGTCCCTGCAAAGGACATGACATGAATGCACCTTTTTTTATGGCTGCATAGTATTCCATGGTGTATATGTGCCACATTTTCTTTATCCAGTCTATCATTGTTGGGCATTTGGGTTGGTTCCAAGTCTTTGCTATTGTGAACAGTGCCGCAATAAACATATGTGTGCATGTGTCTTTATAGTAGAATGATTTATAATCCTTTGGGTATATACCCAGTAAGGGGATTGCTGGGTCAGATGATATTTCTGGTTCTAGATCCTTGAGGAATCTTTATAGTAGAATGATTTATGATCCTTTGGGTATATACCCAGTAAGGGGATTGCTGGGTCAGATGATATTTCTGGTTCTAGATCCTTGAGGAATTGCCACACTGTCTTCCAAAATGGTTGAACTAATTTACACTCCCACCAACAGTGTAAAAGCATTCCTATTTCTTCACATCCTCTCCAGCATCTATTGTTTCCTGACTTTTTAATGATCGCCATTCTAACTGGCGTGAG